>NC_000006.12:91700138-91851077 GCF_000001405.40 Homo sapiens
AATATTTAACATATGCAATCTTATATCATACCTTAGATCTTTAAAGACAGCCAAGGTTTCTCTCTCCCTCTACCTCTCAGAAAACCTACTGATGGAGCGAAGATTGCAGGCTGGATCATTTCAAAGTGCCTTGGTCAAAGGACTTGCCCAGGAGGCAACTTAAAGCCACTGAACTTTTGGTGATGAGCACCAGCCATAAATCAAAGAAGTAGATCCCCAGGGTAAGTCTTAGGATGAGTGGCAGAGAAGCAAACAGGCTGACAGCAGCTTCATGCCAGCTTTGCACACCGTGTGGCAAGAAGAAAAAACCTTCAGAGTCAGGGATCTGTCACAGGGGCATCTCCAACAGGCAGATAACAAGTCATTCGCTGTGGATGACTGGGGACAAGTGGTATCAGAAGCACTACAGACCCTATAAAAACAAGAGATTCCAAGTCTGGTGGAAAATCAGAGAAACAGAAATGGTGATTCTAGTTATATGTTGTATTTATGTTACTATGAAATTATAAAGGGAAATTATGTAGAAAGTTGAATTGCTTCTCTACAAAATTCCACAAAATTCTAAACACATTCCCTAGCACTTAACAACCAACACTTTTTTCTCTCTTTACAATCAACCAGCATGCATTTTTTTAAATAATAAATTATATGACGAAAGTTTTTGTGTTTTTTACCTGAATAGACTGACGAAATAATTATGGAGACATGCTAAGGTATTCTACTCAAGGTCATAGTAATTCTACTATTGAGTAATTCTACTCAAGGTCATAGTAATTCTACTATTGAGTAATTCTACTCAAGGTCATAGTAATTCTACTATTGAGTAATTCTACTCAAGGTCATAGTAATTCTACTATTGAGTAATTCTACTCAAGGTCATAGTAATTCTACTATTGAGTAATTCTACTCAAGGTCATAGTAATTTTTAAGACCTAAGAGGGTCATTGTAGGGAAAGAGGATCAGCCACTTCCAGGATCAACATCAGCAGCTTAGATACAGATAGATGGTGAGTATTTACAGTTTATGAGTCCTGAAGATTTTGCAACTTAAATAAGAAATGACGTAGGAACAGCCCATATAATTACAACACAGGCACAGTGTGTTAAAAATATAAGTGCAGGAAGCATAGATAATCCATGTTTTAAATAGAATGGAGGGAGGAGGTCTAAGAAGGCAGAAGGCAAAGTATATCGGTAATGGCTTCCTGGTGAATGTGACATCTCAGTCGAGCTTTGAATAATGAGGAAAAATTTGCCAGGAATGGGCTGGGTGGAAGAGATGGTATTCTGCACAAAAAGTCCAGCATGGCTTTTTCAAAGATCCTTATAGTTAAACATGGTTGGATGATAAAAGTCCAGTAGTCAGAAAAGTGAAACCTGCAGACTTTTCATAGATACCAGATTATGAGCAGATTTGGCTATGCTTTGGAGTTTGAACTTTATCCTGGAGGTATTGATGAGCCATGAAGGGGTTGTAAACAATAGAATAATAACTCTACAGGTTATTCAGAGGTTTTACTTAAAAAATATATTTTTTTAAGATGAGGTCTTGCTCTGTTGTCCAGGCTAGAGTGCGGTAGAACTATCATGTCTCACTGCAACCTTGAGCTTCTGGGATCAAGCAATCCTACCACCTTAGCCTCCTGCATAGCTAGGACTACAGGTATGTGCCACCATACCTGGCTAATTATTTCTTTTTTTGTAGAGATAGGGTCTTGCTAGGTTGGTCATGAACTGGCCTCAAGCAATCCCCTCATCTCAGCCTCCTGAAGTGTTAGGATTAGAGGCATGAACCACTGTGCCCTGCCTTGAAATTTCTTTCATCTTTCAGCAAGTAAAATATAGAAAGAATCAGAGGCCAAGCCAGGCAAAGACCTAGAAGATCAGTCACAACAATTCAGATGAGAAATGATGCAGCTGACGGAAGAGAGAGGCTGTGGGAGCCAACAGGCAGGTATGAAGATGAGCATGATAAAAAGTCAAAATTGATGGGACTTGGTCACCACTGAGTCAGGAGAGAGGAAATAAAAGCAGCGGCGTGAGGGATAGCAGCAGTGCGAGTCCCATTCATCCTGGGACACAATGTGTTTCCAGATCCTCAAGTCCTGAACTGTTAACCTATTGTACAAAGTGTCTAGAAGTGGAAAAATCTAGCTGTGGCCAAATTAAGGCACTGGTGCTAGCAATGGCTGGTGTATTCTAAGGAATTCTATGTTGGTAGGCCAGGAGGAGTAGCAGTTCCTTGCAAAAAAAAAAAAAAAGAAGAGAAAGATGGCATTTCTTGACATCCTTTCACCTTTTGAGTCAGAAAGAAGAAATAGAAAAGGCTGAGCTAACAGTCAGTTTTCAAATAGAAGCTTATACCCTGCATTAGTCCTGGCCTTGTGGCTTTCCAAAAATACATATTATAATTTTAAACATCTTTTCTTCTCAGCTTGATTTTTCAAGGTTTGAATTGTGACATATACCATAATAGTTCTAGAAGTGAGTAAAAAATTATGTTGTGAGGTTAATTTACAGATAATCTTCTCTAAAGCTTGTGCACTCAGCATACAGTAATGTTAATGCAGCATTTCTAAGTTGTCATTATTCACAGAACAGGATTTATTGAAAATCTACAATGTGCTCACTGTTCAAGGGGCTGATGATATAGGAATGAACAAAATAGATACAAACCTCCGCCCTCATGGAGCTTACATTTCAGGGAAAGGACAGGTAATAGATAAGATAAATGAGTAAAATGTATAGAATGTTAGATCATGGTAACTAAGTGCTGAAGGAAGAAAAAATAAAGGAGGGAAAGGGAATAGGGAGTTTCCAGAGGTGGACACAATTTTAGAGAAAGTAGTCAAACCTGGTCACACTAAAAAGGTGATTGTTTGAATAAAGATACAAAAGAAGCTAAGGAGCAAGGCATAAAGATACCCAGAGAGAAAAAGTGAAAGTTTCCAAGCAGAGAGAGAAAAGATGCAAAGGCCAAGAGATTTAAGGGACAGTGGGGACAGAAGAAGACTAGACAGAGAGAATTAGAGGAGGAAAAGTTGGATATGAGATCAGAGAGATAATGAGTGATCACGTCTGGTAGATATAAGCCCTGCTAAAGTAAGGGCTGGCTGCTATTCTCAGTGGGATTGGAGCCATTGGTGGCTCCTTAGCTGTGAAAGTGTCTTAGTATATTTTGTTCTGCTATAAAAGAATGGGTATTCTGTTAATACCTATTAACACACTGGGTAATTTCTAACAAATAGAAATTTATTGGCTCACAGTCCTGGAGGCTGGAAGTCTAAGATCAAGGCATCTACATCAGATGAGGATCTCCTTGCTGCTTCATTCATCATATGGTGGAAGGTAAGACAGCATGAGAGAGAAAGAGGGAGTTGAACTCACCTTTTTGACACAAATCTCACCATGAAGTTGGAGCCTTCATGGCCTAATCACCTTGTAAAGGTCCCACCTCTTAATGCAGTTACAACAGCAATGAAATTCCAACATAAGTTTTGGATGATACAAAAATTCAAACCATAGCAGGAATGACATTATCTGACTCATGTTTTTATAGGATCATTCTGGCTACTGTGTTTAGAATAGACTGTAGTGAGGGGTGAAATTGGACAAAGCAAGAAAGAATTAGGAATATTGTGCAATTATACGTGAAAGAAATGATGACACCCCCAAAACTGCACCAAGATAGACCAATGTAGAAGATTAGAAGTGATCAGTTTCTAAATATGCCATATACCATTAAACTTCCCATATTAAGGGATAGAAAGCCAATTGAGAGAACAGCATGTGGTGACTGGGTTTGAAACTGCTTTAGTCACCTAAATCAGGAGTATTAGCCAATATATATATGGAACCAAAAATGATCCCAAATAGCCAAAGCAATCCTAAGCAAAAAGAACATAGCCAGAGGCATCACACCACCTGACTTCACTACATTATAAGGCTACAGTAACCAAAACATCATGGTACTGGTACAAAAACAGACACATAGGCCAATGGAACAGAACACAGAACAGATAAATAAAGCCACAAATCTACGACCATCTGATCTTCCACAAGGCTGACAAAAATAAGCAATGGGAAAAGAACTCCCTCTTCAATAAGTAGTGCTGTGATAGCTGGCTAGCCGTATACAGAAGAATGAAACTGGACCTCTAACTTTCACTATATACAAAAACTAACTCAAGATGGATTAAAGATTAAATGTAATAATTCAAACTATAAAAATCCTAAAAGAAAACTTAGCAAACACCATTCTGGACATTGGCCTTGGCAAATAATTTATAACTGAGTCCTCAAATTGCAACAACAACAACAACAACAAAAAATCGACAAGTGGGACCTAATTAAAGTAAGGAGTTTCTGCACAGCAAAAAAAAAAAAATCAACAGAGTAAACAGATAACCTACATACTAGGAGAAAATATTTGCAAACTATGCATCCGTCACAGTTCTAATATCCAGAACTATAAGGAAGTTAAACAATTAATCTAGCAAAAAACAAATAAACCCATTAAATATTGGGCAAATGACATAAACAGACTTTTTTCAAAAGAAGGCATACAAGTGTCCAACAAACATAGAAGAAATACTCAACATCACTAGTCATCAGGGAAATGCAAATCAAAACCACAATGACATACCATCTGATACCAGTCAGATGGCTGTTTTTAAAAAGTCAAAAAAACAATAAATGCTGGCGAAGCTGAAGAAAAAAGCAAATGTTTTAACACTTTTGATGGGAATGTAAATTAGTTCAGCTATTGTGGAAAGTAGTTTGGAGATTTCTCAAAGAACTTAAAACAGAACTATCATTTAACCCAGCAATCCCATTACTGAGTATACATCAAAAAGGAAATATATTCTTTTACCAAAATGACACATGCACTCTTACGTTCATTGTAGCACTATTCACCATAACGAAGACATGAAGTCAACCTAACTACCCATCAGTGGCAGACTGGATAATGAAAATGTTGTATGTATACACCACAGAATAATACACAGCCATATACAAGAATGAAAGTATGTACTTTCAGCAACATGGATGCAGTTGGAGGCCATTATCCTAAGCAAGTTAATGCAGGAAGCAAAAACCAAATATCATATGTTCTCGCTTATAAATTGGAGCTACACACTGGGTACTCATGGACATAAAGATAGCACCATTAGGCACTGGGGATTACTAGAGGTGGGAGGGAGAAAAGCAAGTGTTGAAAAACTATTGCACACTATGCTCATTACCTGGGTTATGGAATCAATCATAGCCTAAACCTCAGCATCACCCTAAATACCCATGTAACAAACCTGCACATGTACCTCCTGAACCTAAAATAAAAGTTGAAATTATAATAAATTAACTAAAGCCAGGAGGCTTAAGACTTAAGGACAGTCAGTGTTCGAGTCTGAGTCCAAAGGCCAAAAAAGACCAATATCCCAGCAATTGGGGAGGAGGAGTTCCCTCTTCCTCAGTCTTTTTGTTCTATTCAAGTTGTAATTGATCATGAGATCCACTCACAGTAGAGAGGGTAACCTGCTTTACTTAGTCTACAGATTCACATGTTAGTCTCAACCAGAGACACACTCGTAGACACACACAAAACAATATTTGGCCGAATGTCTGGACATCAAATTGTCAGATGAAATTAGCCATCATACCAGGCTTTTTTCTAGCCTAGCCTCAAGAACAGATGTGCTTCTAAATCAAGCCTGTCTCACCAGTGCTAATATTTAGTAGTGGTCAAGTTTGTTGGAGAGCTCATCTGTAACTTGAGCCAACCATTTATTACCTTAAGGCCATAGTATGGACTAGATTAATAAACTAGAGAGAGGATCTCGACATTTGGTATATCCTGTTCTGTAACCACAACCCCAGGTGGGACAGGATGAAGGAAGTAGGAGATCAAGAAGATGCTGTAAGCTTGCGCTATGGAAGGCAATAGTAATGAACTGTTTAATATATTACCTAGTAGAGAAAACTAATTTCTTTCTAGATTTGATACTGAGTCCAAATGCAAAGTTCAGCTAAAAAAAAAACCCTTGATTTTATCACAGGAAGTATGTCTAAGTGTGACCCCTCATAATGGTTCTTGAGGTTCTTGAAAATATGGTACCACAACCTTTGAGATGCTGACCTTGATGTTACATTGACTGCCTTATTGGCACCAACCTCTGTTTGATAATCTACCAACAGATGGTCAGGGTATCTTGATATGCTTTCTAGTCCCTTCCCTATTCGTGCATCATTTGACAGGATACTTCTGAGACAGCAAAATTTAGCTGAAGATGTTCTGGTTCATTGTTTCCAGCAATGGTTTTGGCTTTATCTAGAATTCCTTGATTAAAATTTATATGTGACTCCAATCTTATTCAACCTTACTGTGACATAACAAAGATGTGACAGTTCTGTAGAGTTTCATGATCTATTGTCGTCTTCTGTAGTGTGCATTTCCAGGGTGCTGTCTTGCTGTCACTTGTAAACAGAAATATGTTGAGAGTCGATTTTAAAATGTTTTAAAGTTTAGCTACATTTTGAATTGAACGTATACAATTAAATAGTTCTTTAATAGTAGAACAATGAATTTCTGGCTGATATAAAGTTATTACCAAGTTCACCACTATTTATTTATAGATAAATGTTGGCATATGGATTTTTATTACACTTTTAATGGTAGTAAATTATTCTCCTCATACTTGGAGTAGTTCCACAGTAACATGTAAGAATTAATGGAGAGTTCAAAGCCAAAAACCATTTGGGGTTAACATTTATAATGAATCATTTGGCAGAATTCTGTATGTACATGATTTCAGAGCCCTTGTAAAAATATCAAAAAAATAATTTGACAATACAGATTATAAAGGATGGAATTTCACATCATTTGTTCTGAGAATTCTATTATTTTTTACCTTGATGAAATATCAGAAATTTGAACTCAATTATTTGTACAGAGATGATTGCCACAAAAGTATATCTAAAGACAGAAGTGGAAAGTATTTTGATTATGGAGCATTCAAATAAACGATGACATAATAACATGATGAATATTATGTCAGATATATAATGTTCCTAAAATATTAATAAATGAAATAGTATGTATAAATTCAAGTATGTATATGCGATTGTATGTGTGGGAAAATATAACAAATTATCAACAATGTGTCTTTGATTAGAGAGTACAGGTGACTTTTTGTTGTTGTTATTGTTGTTGGATTTTTGCCAGTTTTCTACAGTGACGTATAAAATGTAATGAGAAAAAAAAATCCATGGGGTTTTAGAAAATAAAGCATAAAAATATTTTAGTTGGCTATTCTGCACCATTAATAGTGTGGCAAATACAAGATTTTGAGTCTAAATGATAGTTAGATTGATGTACCTAGAAAAATCTTGAGTTTTACTTGCTTATCGACAAGCTTTATTATGATATTCTGAAAACCCAGAAAGACATCTTCACTTATGTGATATTTAGGAATTTAAAAATTGAAAGAGTAAATATTTCTCGTTTTTGAAGATCCCATAAGAATTAGGCAATACTCCCAGTGATTGAATCAACCTATTATCTCTATATCTTCTGAATTTGAAAGGCACCTGTGCCAGAATAACAAAAACGAAATTAAACAAACATACAACATTGACTAAATCAATAAAAGCCACACAGAGGAAATTACTATTTCCCATTAAGTATTAGATATGATAACAACAGCAGGCATGATAGCAACTTATATAAAGATTTACATTTTGTAAAACATCTACAAACAGAAGACAGTTGAATGACAAATTTATTCTAATCACATTTGCTTCAAAGAGGATTTTGCTCCATGTAAGATACTGATGCATGCTGAGAAATGTTTATTAACATTATATTTCTTTATTTTACAGGTCAGGCAATCATTTCATTTCTATATTTTTGTATAAGGTATGGAAGTACTTCATTTTTATTATTTAATTGTTTACTAAGGTCTATTGTGTCCATGTCTTGTTTTAACCTCTTTATTGCTTTGTCCGATTTTCACTTCAGCGAATTCCTCAGTGAAACCCAAAAGCTTAAGTAACACTAGGGAAGAATAATTTATAACTCTGATGGCGGATAAGTCTTAAGTCTTTGTTCCTTATGAAATTATTTTTAAAAACTAAGAAAAAAATAAGCCAAAGTTTCAACGTCATTTCTGTTTTTAGGTATTTTCAATACTAAACCTTAGTATTTAAGTTGTTAAAGAAAAAAAATCCTAGAAGTTTTTAAAAGTAAAATAAATAAATTGTGTTGCACTTGAAAGTTTGACCTAAAATGATTTTTCTAATTAAAAACTAATTTTGTAACTGAACACTATTTGCAGTTTATACTTTGGGGGCCTGGCATGGCGGCTCACCACCTGTAATTCCAAAGCTTTGGGAGGCTGTGGTGGGAGGATCACTTGAAGCCAGAAGTCTAAGACCAGCCTGGGTAACATAGCAAGACCACATCTCTACAAAACAAAAACAAAACCAAAAACACAAAAAAATTAGCCAGGCATGGTAGTATATCTGTAGTTCCAGCTACTCTGGAGGATCTCTTGAGGCCAGGTGCTGAAGGCTACAGTGAGTCATGATCATGCCACTGTACTCCAGCCTGGGTGACAGAGCAAGATACCATCTCATAAATAAACAAAAACAAAAAACAAGAACAAAACACTGTACTGTGTCACAATAATTTAGGGTTTATTCTGATTCATTAGTCAATAGAATTTCAATGTCATTGACACCATCAAAGAGGCTTATGACACAATAATGATTCACGCAAAAATCCAATAACAGAAACACTTTTTCTCTGATGAAGTATTTTTTTCTATTATAGATTTCTGAAGTTATTTCTTTCTAAGTTATACAATTGTAGCAATTTATAGCCTAAACCAATTAAATTTAATAAAAATAAAGCCAACAAGTTAATTAAAAGATTTTTATCAGTGGAAGTGATACAGTGGTAAAAGCATTCATATATTGAAGCCCTAACCTCCTATGACTGTGTTTGGAAGTGGAAGGTCTGTGAGGAGGTGATAAAGGTTAAATGAGATTATGAGGATGGGGCCTAATTTAGTAGGTCTGGGACACTTATAAAAGAGGAAGAGACACCCCCCTCTCTATGTCATGTGTGGACGCAGCAAGAAAGTGACCATCTGTAAGCCAGGAAGACAGTCCACGTTAGAAATTGCATAAGCAAGAACCTTGATCTTGGACTTACAGAGTTCAGAATTGTGAGAAAATAAATGTCTGTTGTTTAAGCCACCCCGTCAATGGTGTTTTGCTATGGTAGTTTGTGTAAACTAAAACCTCCATTTTCCAAATCTATACATGTGGTGAATAGAATATGGTAGTTTTGATCTAAGTGGGGGAAATGATACATGCTTTATGTTTTTTTAATTTTTCTTATGTGAGGAATTTACAGGCTACTCCAGAATTGTCTTACTCTCACTGTCACTGTCTAGTTCATTGTAGTGGATTTATCACTTGCTGTCTTTTCTCAATTTGCCTATTTTTAAAAATGTTTTTAGGACCACCTTTAGCTTAATTACCTTTTAAATCCAACTTTATGTTTCAAATATTTATCCCAGCTCACAAACTTTTGTCTAATTCAGATTTTTACCTCTGTGATGAGACACAAAATTGTCTAATCTAAGCTGCTGAAACCGTAAGAATTCACATTAAATTGTATTTCATGAATACTACATTGTAGATTGGAAACCTACAGAGAGTTCCTGACTTCCAAGTGTCATCCAAGTGTCTGTTTTCACTAACAGGAACCTCTCCAGTAACTACTAATTAATTATACAAACACGTATTAAGTAACTTTATGTGTTAGATCCTCTCACAGGTAAGAGCATCATAGAGGATACCTTCCACACCCCTCACCCCTACTCCACCATGAACTAGTGGTCTAAGTGGAGGATATCAACAAATAGACTATTACAGTTCAGTGGGATAAATAAATGATAGAGTTATAAAATTTTTGCTATTTTAAGTGAAATGCATCTGGGTAGCAATAAATCTCTTTGGGGCAGAGTCTGCAAAGTGTGACACTGGCTTTATTTTCTCATACTGGACACCAGAATCTTGATATTAAGTAGTCTGAGAGAGTGAACCCTGATTGTAGAGGTTAGGGGGTTTTTGTTTGTTTATGTGAACATTTGTCTTTTTCCTTAGGGCTTTGTAAAGATGGCAAAATGATTTGTTGGCAATAAGTGAGCACACACTATGTAATGACAACTATTTTACAGTCTCCTATATGTGTAAAGTATATATCCACAGACAACAAACTGTGAAGGATATACAGTGGGTTCTGATATCAGTGTCTTCTCTCTCACTAAGGAACAGACAATGACTCTCAACCAATGCAGCTACAAAGACAAAAGATGCCCTTCAATGCATCCCACATGGCCCCTCCCCATGCCATCTGCCTTGTCATGTGCATACCCGTGCTGAGATAAGACCTCTATAGGCCTAAGGCACAGATAAATTGTTGACACCCACCCCCTTGTCTATTCAAACACTACGTAATTCAAAATCCAAATAATGATAATTTCTAAAAGCAGAGTTAAGGAAATTTCAACATGACCTCATTTTTTTTTCTCCTGATCACTACAGCAATGTGTTTTTTAACAGCATTATTTAGGTAAGATGAACATACCGTAAAATATATCCATTGGGATTGTACGATTCAGTGGTTTTTAGTAAATTCATGCAGCTATGAAGCCATCACTACAATCCAGTTGCAGAAAATACCATCTTCTCTGAAAGCTCCCTCAGGCCCGTTTGCATCAATCCCTTCTACCATTCCACCAATCCCATCCCTGGTCAATTACTGATCAGTTTTCTGTCTCTAAAGATTTACCTTTTTCAGAATTTTATATAAATAGAATCATGAAGTGTATGGCTATTAGTGTCTGTTAATGTAGTTTTTGCCTTTGTGTTTTGAAATAATTACAGATTCACAGAAAGTTGCACAAGCGTAACAATGAGGTCTCATTTATACTTCACCCTATCTCTCCTAATGGCGACATCTTATGTAACTATAGTAACAATATCAAAATCAGGTATTTGCATTGGTACAATGTGTGTATATAGTTCTATGTCATTTTATTACATGTGTTGGATAACATGCATAGATTTGTATTACATGTGTAGACTTTGTCATTTTGAGAATGTTATGTGAATGAAATCATGCAATAAATGACTTTTTAAATTTAATTATTTGCAGTTTGTTGTACATCAATTATACCTCAAAATATATTAAAATAGTGGTAGGCAGTGCACTTATTGACTCAAATCAAAGGAACCTTTCTCTACACCTTTGAGGCAAGAGTGATCATCTAGACATAAAATCTCTTTCATCCCAGCTCTTTTTAAAACAAAGTTGACACATTCTGCTAATGTCAATACAATCCATAAGCAAATCAAGGAAAGAAAATAACTTTTTATAAAAATTGTGATGATAACCCTGTAAGTCAGCTTGAGAGTGAATGCATTCCTATTTGCTGGAATGCAACATTTCAGCTCCTCGTGGGGGCTGCCCAGTTCATTGGAAAACTGTCAGGTGAACAAAGCTGATGGCACACAAAATTTCATTCCCACTTTTCCCTCTTGTCAATGGGTAAAAGGGCAGTTATAATAATGACACAATAGCAGATCATTCCATTACCTTTTCCAGCAGAGCTAGTTGTTTTGATTTCTCTAAAGTGTTTATGGAAGTGTGTGTCTTTGTATAGACATTTAGTGATTGCTCTAGATATTACATTAGAGATACACGACTTATCACGGTTAACTAGTGTCATCATTTTACCAGTTTAAATAAAGTGTAAAAACCATGCATTCCTTTCAATCCCTTTACTCCTCTTCATTTAGAAAATAGTTCTCTTACATATTAGCTCTAAACACACTGAGAAAAACATCAAACAATGACATAATTTTCAGGATTGTTAGCCTCTTCAGTACCCAGTCAGGGATATAAGAAACAACTAAAACCCTCAGAACTTACTGCTTGGTACTTCTTTGGGTCCTGAAGTCTCTAGCCAGTCTTCCTTCTTCCTAAAGCCTTTCAAAGTGTCTCTCTCTCTGTCTCTTTCTCTCTCTCTATATATATAATAATATATATCTATAACTATAGCTATATCTGTTATAATAATATATATTACATACTATATAGTATATATAATTCTTTATATAGGTATATATAAAATTTTATGTATAAAATTATATATTATATATAATTCTTTATATAGGTATATATAAAATTTTATGTATAAAATTATATATTATATATAATTCTTTATATACATATATACAATTTATATGTATGTCTATATAAAATATATATGTATATATATAATTTTATATATGTGTGTGTATATATGCCTATTCATCTTGTCCCCTCATTCCTTTTTAATTGTTTTATGTGTTTTTATTTTCTCTTTATCACTAGATTGCTACAGAATCATGGGATTTGCAGGCAGGGGGGTAAAATTCTGCCAATGCCTTTTAAAAATACCGCAGAATCTTTAAAAATATAGTTGTTTGTTGGTATCCAAGAAGGTGTTCAGTCTATTGTTTAACTTTACACTGGGCTTCCCCGTGTATATGGCTCTCGCTTATGACTATAGGGCTTAGTGTTTGTTCATGTGTTCTTTGTTCATTTGCTTAACATACAGCCTTTACATACTGAGACTACAGTGCCTTATTACTGTGGAAATCTTTACTCCTTTGGAATAGACTCTTCAAAATGTTGTGAGTCATTGTGTGAAGCTACACCTTTATGACTTTCTAATCTTCTTCCTCTCTCTTTGTGTGTTCACTTTGGCACTTTGGATACTTCCCCAGGAAAAGTGTTATCTTGTACTGTATCTGCATAAATACACCTTATTTTTTTCTCCCTCAGCTGCTGCCCTTGGAGGTTCATCACACACATAGCCAACTCCACCTGCCAGTCCCTCAACCTTTCATCTTTTTCCCCTAGAATCAACTCCTTTCCAACATCTGCCATTTGCCAAGAACACCACTGGACCAGCTCCAATTTGGAATTCATTCCGTCCTCATGCCCCCTGCCTTCCACGTGATGACTTTCCACTGAAACCTCTCCCAGTCCTCCCCTCTCCTTTTCCTACCTCATATTCTTTATGCCAGTAAAGAGAAAATTGTTAGGAAGTTTTTCATCCTTGAGGAAGTTAAACTTTCCTGATGCTGCATTTTGTATATGCCTTTTCCCACAGAAGAACTCATCAGAAGCAATGATCTTGTTATTCCAACCCAAATTCCTAAGTGGATTTTATAGGGACATTGATAAATACCCAGCTTATGATATATAATACTCTTCATATTATATCTGGAACAACTGTTTCTTCCTTTTTTCTTTTTTCATCAGGCTTATGTGAACTAGTTTCAAATTTAATGGCTATTGATGTCAATTGTATTAAAATACACTCTGAATTTTGAAAAACTGACTTTAAAAGAACTACCAGAGCCTAACTAATTTGTAAGTTTTAGACAATTTAATTAATAATATGGTTGATTATTTGGTTATTAAATTGAAATGTTGAGGTTAGTAAAGCACAACTTTTCTAAAAATAATGACATACAATTTAGAGATGAGCAAATGCAATTGCATATTCTAAAAAGAGGATTTCAAGGCACCAGCTGCTTACCCGCACCACTCCAATAGGAATACACTAATATTTGACTATCTTAAGTGGGCTAGTGATCAGCTTATTGAAAAATTCTAATTAATTCTAAGTTTTCATTTCTTATTCATACAATCATAGCAAATAAACTCTAACTGCAGTTATTAACATAGATTATGAAAAAGCATTTAAAAGAATATATCTAAATCTCATAAAACACATGGCTTATTATTACATGCAATCAATTATATTTAAAATAAATACTTGTCTCCTACAAGCAACTATTTAAACAAAACCTGCTATGACTAAGTTGGCCAACAGGGTAGTTATTCATCCTGCCTTGCAACATCCATGTTACAAAAAGTCTCCACTGTGGTTTTATTTAAAGATCACCTTTCAAAAGCCTATCACAAAATAAAATAGTTTAAGGTAACTTTGGCTTCAGTTTTTGTTTTATATTTGTGTTTTGTATATAATGCTCATGTTCTTCAGTGATAGAATTGTAATTTTCTTATTTGACATGCACTATCTCACCTGCTGCTTCAGGTAATTACATAGTAGAACTCCTGAAATCCCTTGACCCCTTATTAGGATGTACATTCTCTTCCACCCATCAGTCACCAAGTGTTTGCTACCTGTGGAGTCTTGATGACATAGCTCAGTTCTGCATGTCAAATAGTCACTTTAGTCCAATTAAATTCTCATTGCATGGCATTTTGGATTGCTGATGAAAGCTAGAAGAAGTGATGCTTCTACTCTGGGGTTTAATAGTGTGGCTTTTTGACACAAAGTAAAGATAAGTATTCCAAAGTTGTGCTGCATGGCTATTTTCTCTCTTAAAAAATAATCATCTGACAGTGCAATATTTTCCTGTCTCAAACACCGTAATAAATAGGAATTTGACCACCGTGGTTAATATAGTGGCTCCATGGACTGAGATACTGATGTTTTATTATTGACTTCTCACCAGGAATTAGACCTGCCAGGCTATTTCACTGATTAAAATCTTGATTAATCACCTGTTAACGTTGTCAGATTTTACTCACTATGACAAGGGGCACTATCCATGAAGAATAGGTGAACAAAATGCTAAAGAAAATGCCATTTATAGCCAATCAGATTTTTATCTACCTCCCATTCCAAGTATTAAATTATTTTTCATCCAATTTTTTTGGGAAAATAATTCCATAGGCACTATGAAAGAAAAAAATGACCTTTTGTATTTAAATTCAATGGATTTACCCAATCAGTTGGTAATTTTACGTTGTGATATCAAGTAATGAAATGGCATATATTATGGTGGAGAGCAGTGTCTTTTTTTTTTTTTTTTTTTTTTTTTGAGACAGAGTCTTTACCGTGTCACCCCAGCTAGAGTGCAGTGGCCTGATCTCGGCTCACTGCAACCTCCGCCTCCTGGGTTCAAGCAATTCTCCTGGCTCAGCCTCCTGAGTAGCTGGAATTACAGGCACATACCACCATGCCTGGCTAATTTTTGTATTTTTAGTAGAGACGGGGCTTCACCATATTGGCCAGGCTGCTCTCAGACTCCCGACCTCAGGTGATCCATCCGCCTCGGCTTCCCAAAGTGCTGGGACTACGGGCATGAGCCACCACGCCAGGCCGGAGCAGTGTCTTGATATACAAAATAGACTTAACCAATAAATTATTTCAAGTAAAGATAGTCAAGATACAGTTAATGATTAAACAGCAGCTACAAATGGTGGGAAAACAGCTATATCTTATTGGTTATCGTTATTAGAGTGGCAGTACTGTTTGCTTGTAAATGAGCAAGTTAGGGAGAGTCGTTGGGTGATTCAGCACTGTGCTGTGAGGCTCAGGAGTGACCTACAGAGAGGGAAGGTTTCACAACCTTAAATTCACACCTTATTTCCAAATCAAGCCTCAGCTCTTTTATTCTCAGCTTTGTGCCTCCCTCAAACCCCAACCTGACATTGTTTCTAAGAGACATTCACACAATCATATCAAGCACTATCACTTTGTCCTTCGTCTTCAAGGAACTCATCTTTTTTCCTGCTAAGTAGCTTCCTGTTGGGCATACTCTTCCCCCCGTACAATATCTGCTTTACAGATGTCACATCTATCACTAGTAACAGTGGCCCTTTATGAATCTAAATGTCATTCTGGATTGTCTAGATCCTTATCTATTTGAGTTATGTTATTGTAGAAATCATACAAATCTACACAAATCAGTCAAAATATGTAATATTTATGGATAATTTATATACAGATATTTACAAAATCACTTGCAATATTGTATATCACAGTCAATTTTAAGAAAATACAATATTTTTTCCAATATTGTTTTCTGTGTATTATATTGGCAGTCATGGCCAAAGGCTGTTATTAAGGTTACAATTTCAGCTCTGTCTCTGGATTCTTAACTCTTGGTTGTGTGAACGAATATACACTTGAACTTATTTTATATTGTCTTTTATAATCCCTTCTCCCAAAAGGGGTGGAAATTAGGGTGGAATGGAGACTTCCCAGGTGGAAGTTGTGCCTGTCACATAGTCAACCAGAAGGGAGTCACTTCAGAGTGATAAAGAGGAGAAGATATGTACTTGGCTCAACAGGAACCTAGGGACAGGGGAGGAACAGGTCTTTCTTTAGCAGTTCCGAAAAGGAGTAGCAGCAGAGTTCTCTCTGCCTCAGAGAAAGGACTCACCATTTCCTCTTATGACGCTGGTCAGTTGTCACTAGATTTACCTGGTTGTTTCACTCTTTACTCCATACCAACCACTGGAATTCAAACCAAGGATTAGATCATCAAAGCAACATTATTTATATTCCTTAGGCACTCAGGCTTCACTAATTTGTTCAAGGGATCTTATAAAGGAATCTCATTAAACAGTTCAAAATATGCTGCATTAAACGCCCACCAATCAAGAAAGATTTTCCTAGTATTTCATGCCCATTCTTTTGGACCATCAAAGACCATTAATATATAAAGAATATTAAGAAAATCAGTCCATGCTCTAGTTACTTCTCTATGGCAAAGGATTCATATTGTAATGGTTTTACTGAAAAGAGTAGGTCTTCAAGTTTTTCCGAATATTAAGGGAAAGGGAACTTGTAGTAACAGGGAAATCATATTCCATCCAGGCAACTTCAGCCTTCTATTGATACCCAAAATGTGGTTCACAGATAGTCCCAGGTGCTGCTCTGTTATCACAACAAGGGAGGAAAGAAAGGACAGAACCATGCAAGCAGAGGAAAAGTAAGGAAATGAGAATGAAAACCTCTACTGTAGCTAGGCTTGGTGGTACATGCCTATAGTCCCAGCTACTTGGGAGGCTGAGGTGGGAGGATAGCTTGAGTCCTGGAGGTTGAGGCTGCAGTGAGCTGATAGGGCTACTACACTCCAGCCTGTGTGATGGGGTGAGACTATATCTTAGAAAAGAAAGGGGAAGGAAGGAAGAAAAGAAGGAAGAAAAGAAGGAAGGAAGGAAGGGAAAGAAGGAAAGAAAGAGAAAGAAAGAAAGAAGGAAAGAAAGAAAGAAAGAAGAAAAGAAAGAAAGAGAAAGAAAGGAGAAAAAGGAAGGAAAGGAAAGGAAAGGAAAAGAAGCAGAAGAAGCAGAAGAAGAGGAAGAAGAAGAAGAACAAGAACAAGAAGAAGAACAAGAAGTAGAGGAAGAGGAAGAGGAAGAAAATGATGGAGGGAAGGAAGGAAGGAAGGTAGGAAAAATAAGCAAAGCTCAGCTCTACTGGCTATATGTTTTGTGACCATCATATGTTTATTCTTCTTTTATTTACCTGGCTGATAAGCCAGCACAAAAAGAGATTTCAAATTAGGAGTTATTTCGGTTTTGAGGCTGTGGGCATCACAGAAGTTATTATATATTGTAATATGAATTATTTTGAAGAAGAATACTCATTTAGATGCATTAGTTATACTGTGCTTGATAAGAAAATTCGTTTCATTGTGTTGTAATAACAAATAGTACATCATTAAAATTAACTTAAAAACAAAAACACATACACAAAATCAGTAAGAGTTTCAATACACTCTATTCAATCAATAGTTTTAACAGAGATGAAAAAACTTAACTTTTAGAAATGCAAGATGAGCACATTCAATAAACAATACCAAGTAGAAAGCACATATTTGGCAAAGTGAAAGATTTCAAGAATGTTGCACTCAGCACAGGGTCCTGGGGTTATGGCATAGCAGCATGCACTCTGGTTTAGAAGGACAGGTCTAGGACAGATTCCTATTCTGCTTAGATATATAATACCTAATTCTCTTTTCTGAATCTAACTACCCTGTCACCCCTTTAGAAATATTAATGTGATCCATATTTCAGCTTACAGCACATACAAAACTTACCCTTCATGTTAATAACATACGGGGAAAAAAGAGAATATTAAAGACAGGTCATGCACTAGAAAGGTGTGTGAAACAGTCAAGCTGCTTATTCAGTAATTGAAAACTTGAAAACTGTAACAATAGGGAATTTTTTGGCCTTTAACATCATTGAAAATGTCACAATAAGTCCTCATGATGCAATTTAAAAATAGAAGTTCATGTGTGTTTTCAGTCTCTGTCTGATGGACTCCAACCATTCTATAGAACAAGACAACCCATTGGGGAAAATCCATTCGGTGCCTTTCATGTAATATATAGAAGTGTGGGTCCAAAAATACCTTGTCTTAACCACTTCCTGTTGCTGACACAATGGTTTCTAGCGGAGAGGCAAGGTGATCCTAGATTCTGTCATAAAACTTAAATAAAACAATTCATAAATTGTTACTTTCAGCACCCCAAACTGAATGTGCTATGCAATTTCAGTTGGTTAACCAGACACTCTATACATACTGTATGTAAAAGTAGATGCAAAGGGTGCTGTCCTATCGGTGCTAATATTTACAATCAATTGAGAGGACGTAGTACCTTAGTAAATGAGAGTTTAGGAATAAAAACTATTGTCAATTTGATTTTCCTTTGATTGAGTACATGGATAGGCTAGTTGGATGGCCAGGGTCTAAAATGAATGCCATTTTTTAATATCTTTACTAAAAATTTACTTTGGAAAGTGTATGTTTATGTACTTAGTTATTTAAAACGCTATTGTGTAGAAAAGGGAAGTTCTAGTTCAATCCTGCTCCTACTTCAAAATTTACAGCAAAAAAAATTAACTTATAAAGTGTTAGATCCGGGAATAACTAAAGATGCAACTTCCTCACAAATCAAACTATTAATATTAACAATAGGAATGTGAATTCATATTAATGTTTGTAATTTATATTATCAAGCATTTTCCAGTAGAAAAATTATTGCATACTTAGGAGTCAGAGAACCCTGTGTTCTAATTCTAGTTCTCCTACTTATCATCTGAACTTCTTAACTCTTAAAATGGGGATAATGATTATTTTTACCTTGAAGTGTTTTGTAAAAAAGTGTATGAGCTATCCGTAAAGCATTTAACATTCTGCCTGGGTCTCAGTGCTTGCTACCGCCACACGAACATAGCACTTATACTATATTATCATCTACTTGGGAGACATAGCTGATACTAATAACATCAAAGATTTTAGTTTAAATAAAATAGGGATTAGGACTGGCCATAAAAATGGAGCGATACCATCAAGGGATTTCCTGATTAACTTCTATTAAGATAGATAGGGATTCCAATATGGCATGGTGTAAAATATGCTAAAGCAATGGCTAACCAGTGAAGAGAAGGTATACCTCTCTACTTTCCCATCAGAATGGAAACAAAAAATTGGTACTATTTTTCTCTATGTCTCTATGTCTGTCTTATTAACATCAAAGAGTGCAATGAAACTGAAACATTATTGTGACATCACCCTGGGTGGACAATTAACTCCACTGGCAACTTGAAAAGGAAAACATTACCAAATATATCATGGTTTCAGTGTCATGGTCTTGCCTCCAGAATTGAAGAAATCATTTAGTACAAATACCTCGTTTGAGAGATGAGGAACCTAAGGTCCTTAGAGAGCATGTAACTGGCCCAGAATAATACAGCTGGCTCATGGCAGACCTGGTGCCCAAGCCAATGCTTTGTCTTACAACCGAACACCCCGGTGTTTCTCAAATGTGCTGCTTTAATGATTTTTTACTAAATGTGTTCCCTTTCTTTTGATAAAACTTCATTGTTTTATGTTTATGTCTACATTACCATATAGTTTTTCCCAGAAAAAGGTAAGTAAAAGTTTCTCTTCCAAATACATTAGCTCTTCCCTAAAACTTGGAAAATGAAAATTATTTTCTGTTATTTCACTGTGAGAACTAGTCTAAAAATTCAGTGTCTGAGAAAAACTAATGAGGAGAAAAACCTTTCCCAAAGAATAAAACAACATTCTCTCATCCTAGAGCTGATTTGGCTAAAAGAAAAAAAAAAGCCATATCTTCCTTTTTGTTATCTCAGGATTCAAATTAAGGCAGAAAATAATATTGGTCACAATATGCTGGTTTTGATATGATACTTCTGTGGGATTATTTTAAAGACAATTCTGGGGATATCAGGCATGACAGAAAAAAGGAAAGAGAAATTAATGAAGCATAAACATAGTCAACAATATTTTTATATTTTAGAACCAGAGAAAGGGCTGAGTAATATTTTATGGGGCTCACTATCAGCCCTAAGATAAAGGCAGAAGGAATGGAAAGGGAGAGTAGCATACAAGGAAACAGAAGCAGTATAATATAATAGAGTGGGAGGGAGAGAAAGTGGAGCAGAGAGAAAAGAATTGCGTATGGAGGGGAGGGGAAGACTGACATAGAAAATGACTTCAGCTGTCACTCAGGGTTACCACTGCCATAACTGCCTACATTGATCTAGCTTAATCCCCTGCAGTATCACTCCCTTTTCTTTTGCTGTCAGGGGCAAAAATATAAGGGGAGGATATTTTTTACTAGATAGATTCCATTCTTACAGAATAGTTAATCTTTAACTGGATTCAAATGGGGTGTTTAATGTCTCAGATAACATGTATTCTAAAGCCAATCCAAATTTTAGAGTGCAGAATTTGCAGTTAAAATACTTCATTGAAACCCCTTTTGACTTATTTTCTTTCTATTGATTTTAAAACTTCAACTAAAGAAAAGATTTTAAAATGCCATCTGCAATATATTTTAAATCTTGCTACAAAAAGCATTGAATCTGTTCATTTCCTAATTGCACAGTCATAATTTCATAGAATTTACTTATCCTTTCTGTTAGGCTTTGTTTATGAATATGTGCAGCATCGATTTATTCAACTTACGGTTTTTAACTGATGAGATCACTAATATGGTTCAACTGGTAAAACATATCGGCAGCCTGCCTGGTATCATGGGTTTGTAATAAAGGTAGGTCTAGATTTCTAGAAGGTGACTCTCAGTCCTCAGTCTTTATGAATTGGGGGGACGAATGATCCAGGCGTTTTTTTTTTTCGCAATAAAAAGAATAAGGTACAAGAATAAGTAAGGAGTCTCCATTCATTGTGAAAATATACATAAAACAAACAATTTTTATTCATACAACACTGAGAACTGAAATGGAAATCCAGTGTAGTGGATCCTTCTATTTTGTTTTTAAACTAGATACACCTAACTCTCTTGCTTCCAGTTATATCCAGACATTCTCGGGGAATCTCCCTTGTTTCTGTAAATAATTAGAACTGTCCCTTTTGCTAGTAAACAACATTAATTTCATTGCATTTTTATAATATAGTCCTTAAGAAAAAGGTGTGTCTAATAGCTTCTGGTATAGACATGAGCTAAGGCCGATATTTTTACTCAGCTCAGTCAAAGAAGAGGTCTTTCTCTCTATTATCTTAGAGACCACATACTACTACTTATTTCATTCTTTTAAAACATCAGATAAGAAATTGGAATTTCATGCTACCCTTCTGCTCTCCTTGAACGTATAGCCAAGCTGCAATGTCCATTGAGCAATTTGGCATGATTTGGACTTTCTCCTCAAACAGGATAAGACTGGAGTAATAAGGAGGGAGCAGGTCAAGATGAAGGAGGATTTGCAGTGCTGTGCTTAGATACATGAACACTGGCCTGCATTATACCTGGCTCTAGTGGAGAGTGTTATTAATCCTCCACTTTAATGAGCACCAAGCTTTCGCACAAGACTTAAAATAAATCTCCTACCAGTGTCCCTTCACAGTGTTACTGCAATTTCATGTGCTTCCATTAGACCTTGCAACTGGTAAAGAAAATGAGACATTTCAAGGCTATTGAACACAGTGAATCAGGGCAAGTTAGTTAATATGGATTTTGTCCATAATTTTGTCAGAAAAGAAAATCGTTTGTGTGTGTGTTTTATATTCTCACTGGTTCTGTGGATCTACCTAATATTAATATCATCTAGTTGCTTATTTTGTTTATGAGAATATTATTATAATAAATTTTCTCTCATGTTACCCAATCTAGATTAGATTCTCAACACTCTGCTCTTGGCCTTTATAGAAATTAATAAATGTTTGATGGACAAATTAATATATTTCAGGTCTTTATCCAGACTTTTGGGAAAAAATAAACATACATTTTAAGAGAAAAAAATTAAGTGTTTTTCTATGGATACAAATATGAAGCAAATATGAGCTTAAGGGGAATCAGAAAAAATATCCCTCACTTAATAAAATTGTGGTAAAATCAAAATAGGTGAATAAAATAAAATGGTTACATTTCAAATGAATGACAGATGATTGAAATTTTATCATCTATTAAATTGGTAATAGCCACTGACTCAGAAATAGGCAACGCATTCCCTCAACAAGGTGACCTGATCTTAAACCTCATGCAGTAGAGGCCTGAAGTTATGGACTGGAAAGAACTTGTGAAGCCTGGGTAGACACTGAGTTTTTAGGAATTACAGAGCCTACATTCATGCTACAAAATTGACTCATTCTCTGGCAATTGGTCTTCTTGCAAAAGCCGAAAACAAATTTTAAAGCTGTAAATTAAGCAATAGAAAAAGTCAGAAGAAATATGTAGCCATGTATTCTAACTTCTAGCCAATTAAGACCAAACATTACAGGTGCCTTTCCTTCATTATGTTAGATTTTCATGTGTTCATTAATTCATTAGTTCATTTCACTGACCTCTTGCTCTTCACTAAAGATCTATGGGGGCCAGGCACAGTCCCAGCACTTTGGGAGGCCAAGGTAGGAGGATTGCTGGAGCCCAGAAGTTTGAGACCAGCCTGGGTAACATAATGAGACCCTGTCTCTATAAAACATAAAAAATTAGCAGGCATAGTGGCTCCTGCCTGTAGTTCCAGCTACTCTGAAGCTTGAGGTAGGAGGATTGCTTGAGCCCAGGAGAGGTAGGTTACAGTGAGCCATGATCTTGCCACTGCACTCCAGCCTGGGTGACAGAGTGAGACCTGTCTCAAAAAAATAAAATCTTCTCCCATGGAGTTTACACTAAATAAGAGGAGAAACAATGCATGTTTGGCTAAGGGAACTTGCTTTTCAGCTGAGAGGAAAGGAGACAGTATTCAGGAAATTGAAATTTATTCAAAAAGTGAAAAATGTAATCCATAGTTAAAACAATATCAAACATCTATTTTCTTTGGATTTTCAGGGAACTACCTTAACTTAGTATCATTTTGGGGAAAACTGAGGGCCAAAAAGAAGATGAGAAGAAGAATAGGAAAAGGTAGCTACTGTAAAAGACTTAGCTGCACGCTTAGGGAGGAAGGTGTTGGTAAATAAACTCCCTCAATTAATGGGTTGAATTGAGAGTCCATGGACACAATTTCTGTTCATTGGGAAAGGAATGGTTTCAGTGACCAAAATTGTAGACTAAAATTATGTTTGATTATGATTCATGCTGTTTAGAAATAAAAATGTCTATAAAGTTATTTAAATGAGTCAAAGCCAAATAACCCTGCCTGCCATGTTTTTGAATAATGAAATAGCAAGCAGTCTTCTTTCCCGATGATTGATATAACTGTACATGTTGTCTTTCATAAGTACCATGACAACCACTAGCTAATCTTTCATATCAGCTTTCAATATAAATTCCAACACAAATATACTAGCTTACCAACAAGTCTTTTGAGAGTTTTAATAGCACAATTTGAAAGGACAGAAACAAATTTTTGCTTTACTGCATTTTTTAGTTTATTTTTTTAAAAATTAGAGATAATATAAAATCAAAATTTAAAAAATCAAAAAATAAAAGAATGCAAAAACAAACAAATGGAAGTTATCTGTCTTTCTATAATATTCTTTTTTAAATTATACTTTAAGTTCTGGGGTACATGTACACAACGTGCAGGTTTATTACATAGGTATACATGTGCCATGTTGGTTTACTGCACCCATCAACTCATCATTTACATTAGTATTTCTCCTAATGCTATCCCTCCCCCATCCCCCCAGCCCCCAACAGGCCCCAGTATATGATGTTCCCCTCCCTGTGTCCATGTGTTCTCATTGTTCAACTCCCACTTATTAGTGAGAACACGCAGTGCCTGGTTTTCTCTTCTTGTGTGACTTTGCTGAGAATGATGGTTTCTAGTTTCATCCATGTCCCTGCAAAGGACAAGAACTCATTCCTTTTATGGCTGCATAGTATTTCATGGTGTATATGTGTCACATTTTCTTTATCTAGTCTGTCATTGATGGGCATTTGGGTTGGCTCCAAGACTTTGCTATTGTGAACATTACTGTGATAAACATACATGTGCATGTGTCTTTATAGTAGAATGATTTATAATCCTTTGGGCATATACCCAGTAATGGGATTGCTGAGTCAAATGATATTTCTGGTGCTAGATCCTTGAGGAATCGCCACACTGTCTTCCACAATGGCTGAACTAGTTTACACTCCCACCAACAATGTAGAAGAATTTCCATTTCTCCGCATTCTCTCCAACATCTGTTGTTTACTGTCTTTTTAATGATTGCCATTCTAACTGGCGTGAGATGATATCTCATTGTGATTTGGATTTTCATTTCTCTAATGACCAGTGATGAGCATTTTTTCATAAGTTTGTTGGCTGCATAAATGTCTTCTTTTGAGAAGTGTCTGTTCATATCATTTGCCCTTTTTTTGATGGGGTTGTGTGTTTATTTCTTGTAAATTAATCTAAGTTATTTGTAGATTCTGGATATTAGCCCTTTGTCAGATGGATAGAATGCAAAAATTTTCTCCCTTTCTGTAAGTTGCCTGTTCACTCTGCTGATAGTTTCTTTTGCTGTGCAGAAACTCTTTAGTTTAATTAGATGCCATTTGTCTATTCTGGGTTTTGTTGTCACTGCTTTTGGTGTTTTAGACGTGAAGTCTTTGCCCATGCCTATGTTCTCAATAGTATTGCCTAGGTTTTCTTCTGGAGTTTTTATGGTTTTAGGTCTTATATTTAAGTGTTTAATCCATCTTGAGTTAATTTTTGTATCAGGTGTAAGGAAGGGATCCAGTTTCAGCTTTCTGTATATGGCTAGCCAGTTTTCCCAACACCATTTATTAAATAGGGAATCCTTTCCCCATTGCTTGTTTTTGTCAGATTTGCCAAAGATCAGATAGTTGTAGATGTGTGTTGTTATTTCTGAGGCCTCTGTTCTGCTCCATTGGTCTATATATCTGTTTTGGTAACAGTACCATGCTGTTTTGGTTACTGTAGCCTTGTAGTATAGTTTGAAGTCAGGTAGTGTGATGCTTCCAGCTTTGTTTTTTGCTAAGGATTGTCTTGGCTATGTGGGCTTTTTTGGTTCCATATGAAATTTAAAGTAATTTTTTCCAATTCTGTGAAGAAAGTCAGTGGTAGCTTGATGGGGATAGCATTGAATCTATAAATTACTTTGGGCAGTATGGCCATTTTCACAGTATTGATTCTTCCTAACAATGAGCATGGAATGTTGTTCCATTTGTTTGTGTCCTCTCTTATTTCCTTGAGCAGTGGTTTGTACTTCTCCTTGAAGAGGTCCTTCACATCCCTTGTAAGTTGGATTCTTAGGTATTTTATTCTCTTTGTAGCAATTGTGAATAGAAGTTCACTCATGATTTGGCTCTCTGTTTGTCTATTATTGGTGTATAGGAATGCCTGTGATTTTTGCACATTGATTTTGTATCCTAAGGCTTTGCTGAAGTTGCATATCAGCTTAAGGAGATTTGGGGCTGAGACGATGGGTTTTTCTAAATATACATTCATGTCCTCTGCAAACAGAGACAATTTGACTTCCTCTTTTCCTAATTGAATACCCTTTATTTCTTTCTCTTGCCTGATTGCTCTTGCCGGAACATCCAATACTATGTTGAATAGGAGCGGTGAGAGAGGGCATCCTTGTCTTGTGCTGGTTTTCAAAGGGATTGCTTCCAGTTTTTGTCCATTCATTATGATATTGGCTGTGGGTTTGTCATAAATAGCTCTTATTATTTTGAGATACGTTCCATCAATACCTAGTTTATTGAGAGTTTTTAGCATGAAGGGCTGTTGAATTTTGTCAAAGGCCTTTTCTGCATCTATTGAGATATTCACGTGGTTTTTGTCGTTGGTTCTGTTTATGTGATGGATTATGTTTATTGATTTACATATCTTGAACCAGGCTTGCATCCCAGGGATGAAGCTGACTTGATCATTGTGGATAAGCTTTTGATGTGCTGCTGGATTCAGTTTGCCAGTATTTTATTGAGGATTTTTGCATCGATGTTCATCAGGGATATTGGTCTAAAATTCTCTTTTTTTGTTTTTGTGTCTCTGCCAGGCTTTGGTATCAGGATGATGCTGGCCTCATAAAATGAGTTAGGGTGGATTCCCTCCTTTTCTATTGATTGGAATAGTTTCAGAAGAAATGATACCAGGTCCTCTTTGTACCTCTGGTAGAATTCGGCTGTGAATTCGTCTGGTCCTGGACTTTTTTTAGTTGGTAGGCTATTAATTATTGCCTCAACTTCAGAACCTGTTATTGATCTATTCAGAGATTTGACTTCTTCCTGTTTAGTCTTGGGAGGGCCAACTAAAAATACTAAACACACACTATCACCTACCTGCCTCACCAAAATTTATTAACATGAAAAATCACAATAAACCCTGAGAGCCAAAATGAACGAAAATTTATTCACTTCATTCATTACCCCCACAATTCTAGGCCTACCTGCTGCAGTACCAATCATCCTATTTCCCCCCTTACTGGTTCCAATTTCCAAATACCTCATCAACAACTGACTAATCACTACCCAACAATGACTAATCCAACTCATCTTAAAACAAATAATAATGATACATAACATTAAGGGACGAACCTGGTCCCTTATACTAATCTCCCTAATTATTTTTATTGCCGCAACTAATTGTGTTCAGTTGATGCAAAGTAGGGTTTTGCAGTCCTTAGTTGTTGCAGAAATTAAGTATTATTAACTTACTAAGGGCTTTGAAGGTTCTCGGTCTATGTTTAACCCTCATTTACATAAACATTACACTAGCATTTACTATCTCACTTTTGGGAATACTAATCTACTGCTCACACCTAATATCCTCCCTGCTATGCCTAGAAGGGATAATGCTATCACTATTCATCATAACTACCCTCACAACTCTTAACACCAATTGACATCATGGCTCAGACTATGCCCATGTATCCGAACGGTTCTTTTTTTCCAGAGTAATATGTTACGATGTGGGAAATTATTCTGAAGCCTGGTAGGATTAGGATATAGACTTCGGGGTGACCAAAGAATCAAAATAGGTGTTGGTACAGGATAGGGTCTCCCCCTCCAGCTGGGTCAAAGAAGGTGCTATTAAGGTTACGGTCTGTTAATAATATGGTAATGTCCAGGAATTTATCCATTTCTTCTAGATTTTCTAGTTTATTTGCATAGAGGTGCTTATAGTATTCTCTGATGGTAGTTTGTATTTCTGTGGGACGGGTGGTGATATCCCCTTTATCATATTTTATTGTGTCTATTTCATTCTTCTCTCTTTTCTTCTTTATTAGTCTGGCTAGCGGTCTATTTTGTTGATCTTTTCAAAAAACCAGTTCCTGGGTTCATTAATTTTTTGAAGGATTTTTTGTGTCTCTATCTCCTTCAGTTCTACTCCGATCTTAGTTATTTCTTGTCTTCTGCTAGTTTTTGAATTTGTTTCCTCTCGCTTCTCTAGTTCTTTTAATTGTGACATTAGGGTGTTGATTTTAGATCTTTCCTGCTTTCTCTTGTGGGCATTTAGTGCTATCAGTTTGCCTCTACACACTGCTTTAAATGTGTCCCAGAGATTCTGGTACGTTGTGTCTTTGTTGTCATTGGTTTCAAAGAACATCTTTATTTCTGCCTTAATTTCGTTATATACCCAGTAGCCATTCAGGAGCAGGTTGTTCAGTTTCCATGTAGTTGAGTGGTTTTGAGTGTGTTTCTTAATTTTGAGTTCTAATTTGATTGCACTGTGCTCTGAGTGACAGTTTGCTGTGATTTCTTTTCTTTTACATTTGCTGGAGTGTTTTACTTCCAATTATGTGGTCAATTTTAGAAAAAGTGCTATGTGGTGCGGAGAAGAATGTATATTCTGTTGATTTGGGGTGGAGAGTTCCGTAGATGTCTATTAAGTCTGCTTGGTCCAGAGCTGAGTTCAAGTCCTGGATATCCTTGATAATTTTCTGTCTCATTGATCTGTCTAATATTGAGAGTGGGGTGTTAAATCCTCCCACTATTATTGTGTGGGAGTCTAGGTCTCTTTGTAGGTCTCTAAGAACTTGCTTTATTAATCTGGGTGCTCCTGTATTGGGTGTATATGTATTTAGGATAGTTAGCTCTTCCTGTTGCATTGTCTTTCCATAATATTCTATGTCAATTAAAACTGCCATTAAGAATTGGTGATTATTCTTTCAGAATGTTTATTTGACTAAACACACCTACACATATGCATTTATGCAGAAGCTATCGAAATAACACACACACATACTGTCAAAGTATATATATATATATATATATAGATATGTCATGAACATCTTTCTATGTCATATTGTACATTATTAAATTGCAGGAAAATGTGCACATAGTATATTTTCACAATAAGTGTGTGAGAATACCTCTTTCTTTTTTCCCCAAATTCACCACAGTTTAATAAATAGATACAAATTATCCATGTTTTTATTTTTTCAACATAAAAAGTTATATTTTAACTTAAATACTAATAACATTAAATAATGCAAAAATATGGAGATGAGTATATAATGATTTTTTTAAAGTAAAAGCTTATTTTAATTGTTACCCAGGGTAAGAAATGTTAAAATTTTGATAAATATCCTCATAAATATTCTCTTTGTCTCCCTCTCTCTCCCCCACTTTCTCTTTTTCTCTTTTTTTTATTTAAATGGGACCATAATGAATTTATCATATTATAAATTATGATCTTTTAAAAATCTACTTATCCCTCTACTAGTTGGTAGGATTGATTTAAGACGAGAGAATTATTTCTCAATAATCAATATGAGGTTATTTTAATTAAACTAAGGTCTTTTATAATAATTTTATAATGTTATGAAAGCTACTATTAGTTATCATAACTCTACCCCTTAAGAAATCTTATATTAATTGCATGCATTAGAATATCATCTGATAAAAGGGGTTTAAACCATATACATTTGTTATCTCACATTACAGAAATTCTGAAGTTAAATATTACCAGGGTTGGTTAATCTAGAAGCTTCTGGGTTGGCTTCTTTGAAAAGTTGCAAAGCTTGACCCTTATAATCCTAAGACAGCTTCACTGTCTCCCGTTTTCACACCTATAGGAAATAACATCTAAAGGCAAGATGAAGCCATATTTTCTCCTATACCTTGCTCTTTTTGTCAGGGAAGAAGTCCTTACTCATAAGCCATTAAGAAGAGTTCTCCTGGAAATCACGCGCCTGTGTCCCAGTTGCAAGAGGCCAGTAAAGTGAATGGCTAGCATTCTGAGTGTCTGCAGTGGGAAGAGTTCTTTCAGCAAAGCAGAAAGGGGAAAAGCAAGTGGTGGTGATCAGCAGTGTCTACTTCAACTTTGAAGCCTAAAACAATGTGAAGTATTTCTAGTTAGAATCACAACATACCACATTTCTCTCTACTGAACACCATTTTACTAGTTGGAATTTTTATCTTGATTGTGAATTCCTTGACACAACCTGCATGAGCATGAGCGTGTCCTTAATTCATTTAAGCTACTTGAGGTAATTCTCAACATAGATATGCTTGTAATTGCTATTCGGTTTTAGTTTGTTTCAGCGATTTTGAGTAAAAAGAGAAAGCAGAATATATGATAATAAATTGGAATTTATTATTAAGATAACGAGAGCACTTTTTTAAAAAATCAACTGGTGATTTATTATCTTAACATGAAAGTGAATGTCAATTTGAGAACTTGCGTTTATACAGACATAATCTAAAAGCTGTGCAATGCATTCTACTTCAGTAATGTCTTTTTATTTGTTATTGTTGTTTTTATATATACTTTCCATCATGCAAATTACACAGATAAGTGATTTTTGACCTTTTATTTTATGTTGGGGTTTTATTTTTTAATATATACCCCTGTAGAGCACAGTAACAACCCATTAAAGAAAAAAAGTAATTATAGCTAATATTTATTGGATCCTTACTCTGCACTGAGTACTAAACTAAGAGCTTTGTGTGTACTCCTTCATTTGAGCCTTGCAACAACCTTCTGTGGTAAGAGCTATTATCTTCATTTTACTGATGGAGAAATTGAGTCTAAGAGGTAAAGTCATCTTATGAAGCCCACATGGCCACAAGTGTTCAAGCCATGTTGCCCCATTTGGACCCGAACAATAAAAATTTGGACTCCACGGTCTTAGCCACTGCCTTATGCTTCTGAGGGTTTTGGTGCAGGACTGACTAGGCACAACTCATTGATACAAATTTATGAATCAGCACATAAATTACAGCTTGTGGACAAAGTTATACATTTTTAAAATTTCACATTGGACATGTTTCAAGGGCAATTTACATAACGTGGGTCACAGTTAATGTGTAAATTATAATGATGGTATTAAATTGGAAATAAAATTACTCATTAGCAAACCTCACTTTCAAAAATTAAGAGAATCCCTAGAGAGATAGCTTTATTTAGATAGCATTGTGATTTTTGCCTGAACTTTGGTAGTATCTGTTTTTTATATCCCCTGGTTTCTATTACGGAAATGCTCTGTTCACTGGGCACTCTACCGTGACCCTCATCCTGTTCAGAAAGATGAGTTCCTTTGATCATTGTTGTATATATTTGTGAAGTATGATATTGCACTATTCTTAAAAGCAGAAGAGCTGAATTTAGCTTGATTTTTTTTTTTTAAACACAAACATCACTGAAAACCATCCAGAAACAACATTGTCTGGTAGACAATAGAAGTTCCCTGCATCCCCAAAGTAGGTCTCTCAGAAGTATGTACGAACTGGAGTTTTTCCTCAAGGGGCTTGAAAACACTGCTGAGGTCTTTCTTTTGAACCTCTTTGAACTAAAAGCATGTTCACAACTGTTTGTGACACATTGTTGTGAAGCTGGTGAGGACACTCCATGCCCACTAATTACCTGAAGCCATAGACCTAGTGGAAGGGTGAAGAGTACTCTAGGTGATGCTCACACAGTAGACAACTATATCCTCTCCAATGCAATAGAGCTAAGAAGGGCATCCAATCTCAGGGAAAACCCAAACTCAGAGATAATGCTGAGAGCAGAACAATGATTCCCAGGCCAGATTCTCTGAGAGATACAAGACCAGAACTGCCTCACACAGAAATGATTGTTACAAAGAAAAAGGTTTACTCTTAGAATGTTTTCACTGAAAACATCACAGAGCTAAGTTTCTCCCATTATCATTAACTGGCATGCAAATAAAGGGCTAATTTTAGGACTAAATTATCTATTATGGGTTTTTGGTTTTATTTTATTTTTACATTTTTTATACTTTAAAATTAGAACCTATAAAATTCAAAACCATACGCAGAATCCATTAAAAAGACAATACCTCAAGAATCCTAGAATGATCAGTTAGTAAGATAACTTGATTCCAAAAATAAATGAAAATATGTACACAAATGTGTAGGTATATATACACACATAAATACAGAATTATAAAACATATTTTTTGGTGTCTCAGATACATTGTGTGCATTTGGTATAAAACTCTTACACATTTGGTCCTTTTATTCATCACTATTGTTAGGATATTGCTATGAATTGAATTGTGTCACCCAAAATTTATATGTTGAAGCAACAACCCCCAATGTTTGTATTCAAAGATAGGGCCTTTAAGGAGGATATTTCTGGTGCCCTTACAATGAGAGAGACACTAGGGATGTGTGTATGCAAGAGAAAATGCCATGTGAGGACACAATGAGAAAATGGCCACCTGCAAGCCAAGGAGAGAGGATCCAAGAAACCAAACCTGCTGACTCCTCAATCTTGAACTTTCAGCCTTCAGAATGGTAAGACATAAATGTCTGCTGTTTAAGCCACCCAGTCTGTGGTATTTTGTTATGGCCACTCTAGCAGACTAAGACAGATATCATTACTTCTAGGCACAATAGGCTTTACTTCAAGCTACAAGTTACATTCTCTAGATTTTACATGTGAGCTCTTTAAGAGTAAATAGCAGTACTACATTACAGTATAAAATGAAAGGAACCTTGAGCATCATCTACTACAACAATTTTGTTTTACATATGAGGAAAATTATGGCATAGAGAGATTAAATGACATGCCCCAAATAATACATTATTTTATTTTTTAATTTTTGTGGGTACATAGTAGGTGCATATATTTGTGAGGTACATAAGATATTTGGATAAGATATTTTGCACACAATGCAGAATAATCACATCACAGCAAATGGGTTAAACACCACTTCAAGCACTTATTATATTTTTTTGTGTTACAAACATTTCAATTATACTCTTAGTTATTTTTAAGTGTGTAATAAATTTTTGTTGACTGTAATCAGCCTGTTGTACTATCAGATACTAGATAATATTCATCCCATATATTTTTGTACTCATTAATCATCCTCATTTTCTCCCCACACCCTTCCCAGCCTCTGCTAAGTCATTCTACTTTCTACATCCATGAGTTTAATTATTTTAAATTCTAGCTCCCACAAATAAGTGAGAACATACAGTTTGCCTTTCCGTGCCTGGCTTATGCAGCTTCACATGATGTCCTCTAATTCCATCCATATCTGTTGCAAATAACAGGATTTCATTCCTCTTTATGGCTGAATAATATTCCATCATATATATGTACCACATTTTCTTTATCCATTTATCTGTTGATGGGCCCTTAGATTGCCTACGAATCTTGGCTATTGTGAATAGTGCTGCAATCTATTAGTGGGACCAGTGCTGGAACCAGACCATGTATGTCCCAATTTAAATACAGCCAGGAATATATCAAGTTGCCTATTGTTTTTTGGAGTCTCACGTAATCTTCAGTGCTGGGAGAAGAGAAGCTAATCATTTCATAATTGCTCATGTGTTGCAGGTTTTTTTTTTTTTTGAGACAGAGCGTCGCTCTGTCGCCCAGGCTGGAGTGCAGTGGCACGATCTCAGCTCACTGCAAGCTCTGCCTCACGGGTGCACGCCATTCTCCTGCCTCAGCCTCCCAAGTAGCTGGGACTACAGGCGCCCACCACCACACCCGGCTAATTTTGTTTTTGTATTTTTAGTAGAGACGGGGTTTCACCATGTTAGCCAGGAAGGTCTTGATTTCCTGACCTCGTGATCCACCCACCTTGACCTCCCAAAGTGCTGGGATTACAGGTGTGAGCCACTGCGCCCGGCCTGTGTTGCAGTTTTTTATGGTCATTCTTTGTCATGGGTTTTCTAGGGATACTAGTGGTCCCTGAAATCCAAGAATGCTATATCTATATATATATACAGATGCATATGTACACACACACACATATCATATATATAAATATATATATTTGTTGTTGTTTCATACCTTTACATAAATTATAATTGCTTTAAAAATAACCCCAGGAACACTCCTTTTTAATATTTAACATCATAATCTTATATAATTTGATTTGATTTTATTTTAAACTGGCATTTCCAAGTGGCAGTGTTTCTTCAATAAAATTTCTTGTCACTTAAAGTAGACCACTGATACTGTGTAATCAAGTGATAATGTAGGAAATAATTAGTCTTTTTCAAATTTGTCTATCTTTAAATACAATATACATGCTAGGTATGCCTATCAAAAACATGATGTATCCATGCATGAAATTCACTGTATCTTTTTTTTTTTTTTTTTTTTTTTGAGATGCAGTCCCACTCTGTCGCCCAGGCTGGTGTGCAGTCGTGCAATCTTGGCTCACCGCAACTTTGCCTCCTGGGTTCAAGTGATTCTCCTGCCTCAGCCTCCTGAGTAGCTGGGATTACAGGCATGCAGCACCATGCCCGGCTAATTTTGTATTTTTAGTAGAGATGGGGTTTCCCCATGTTGGCCAGGCTGGTCTCGAACTCCTGACCTCAGGTGATCCGCCCACCTTGGCCTCCCAAAGTGCTGGGATTACAGGTGTGAGCCACTGTGCCTGGCCAAAACTCACTGTATCTTTATAAATATTTTCTTAGTAAGCAAAACAGTCCATTCATCTAGAACCAACTGCAAAGAAACTGTCCATGCTCATGGGGCCACTGGAGTAGCATCCTAAATCAATTTCAAGACTTATGAAAATGAAAAATGGTTTGTTTTATTCCTATTAGCTTGCCTTATTTTCTTAAGCTACTCAAATCCTTTATTATGCCCATCAATCAAGTCTTGCCTACAGTTATAAAGTGAAAATAAAAGAGCACCAAAGCAAAATGGGAAGAAAATGGTAAACTGTGCCTCTCCTTTATTATTTCATCTGAAGCTGTAAGTGTGAAGGAGTTATGAGTCTCTTAAAATGGATCTTCTTCAATTCAAATGTAGCTCCTGGGAAAATGTTTAAAGGAGTAGTGATCTGATTCACAGCCCTGAATAAAAAGGAAAATCTTTATGAAATAGCTAATTGATCCATTTCACATATTTGTGCATGAAGGTTGAACATAACGCTGGAAATAAATCAAGTCCTGGGACAATATCATCCATAAGTCAATCTGGCACACTTTATTGCATGTTACCCATTCAGTGCCCTTGTAGAATCTGTCATCTGTCATATTTCTATCCAAACCATTAACCACACTGGTAGATAACAATTACATCCAATCAAACAACTTGTGCAACCAAGATGAAGTACTAAAACTCCGTCCCATTCTCAAACTGCAGACACAAATATATGCAATACAACCTCCTTTTCCCCACTTCTATCCATGTGGATCTACAGCACATGCATTGTTCCTTTTCCTGCTGGTGAAGGTCATGCCTAAAAGGTGCTCTTGGTGGTGACTTACAGCTTTCAGGTTATCTTTTTTATTACCCTTTGTTGAATCTTTGACATTTGGCCAGAGACTTGAGATTTCTGAATTCTATATAAGGCCTCCAAAAGCGTATCTGAGTTAGTCCCAGAATTCATCTCATCTGACCTTTATGTTCCCTGTCATTTTGGTGGCCAGCTCAGGCAACTAGTTAGCCTATGTATATTACATAATTAAACATCAATACACATTTATATTTTATACAGACTTTGCACCTAAATTGAAAGGCAAATTGGTTTTTCTTTTAGAAAATGAGAATTAATGGTTCATTTAATTGGAAGAATCCATTCAAGGCTTAGCATTATGTCACCTCCTTAAAGAGGACTTGCTGACCACATGATTAATAGCAGTTTTTCTTTTCATCTTCTGTTATACTTTAATATTTTTGCCTTAACAACACATATTACTATGTAAACTTATTTTGGTCATTTCCTTGCTTACTTGTTTAATATCTTACCTCCAATTATACAAATTCTAAGACAGCAGAAATCTTGACTTACCTCTCCCTTGCTATATCTACAGCACCATAAACAATGTCTGGTGCTTAATGGACATCAGTGAATATCTGTGTAGTGTAACGAACTAATTAATGACCAATACTTTGGAATATTTCTGGAGCCCCCCATCATCCTGATAATACTTGACAAATTTCCTAAGTTTTCTTACATGTATAATTTGAAATGGCTGTTTTAGGCTCATGACCTGGTGTAATAGATAGTTGAAAACTCTAATAGTATTTTCTAATTTTCTCTGGTCAAATTAACAGAACCAGGTTGTCTATCTTTTTTAGGCTCTTCATCCTTCTTAGTCTGTCTCTTTATAGGGTTACTTATCTCTCTATTATCTCTGGGATGCTCACTAAGAAGTTCCAGAATCAGAAGTTTTATTCTAAAACAATTTGTTGAATTCTGAATACATATGGCTCTTACAATGACTCTTAATTATAGGAAACATTAAAAATGCAATAGAAAAGAAAAGTAACTTTTAATTATAGAAAACATTTGAAAATGCAATAGAAAATAAAGGTAATATATATTGGGGCTACTCAAATAAAGTGCTTTTGAGATTTTTCTCATATTCTAACAGACTTGTTTATTTCTATATTGTGTATACATGTATTTTAGTAAAGGCAAAAGCAATTCAATGCAAAAACAAGCCCTGGTGTTATTTTTTCATCTCCCAAGTCCTAGTTGGAAACAAAAGTAGATTTTTTTTCCCGAATCATGGAGGATTATAGAATTTGCCCTTGGGGAATGGTACCTGGGCATGGTTGGGCATGGTACCTGGGGAGCATGGAGATGTTAAGGGTAGTCTTTGATTGGGTAGACTGGGTGTTCCCAAGAAGTTCTGTGTGCCTCATCCCTTCAGGGGAGAAATAGCAATTTGTGCAACAAATTCCAGCAGATAAAACAGCAAGAGCATGGATTGGATAGAAAAAAAATAAAAAACACAAGGCATCTTTTAAAAATAGGTGTATCTGGTGCAACTATAGCTACAAATGTTCTAGAACTGGGTTTCTTTGCCCAAGAAACTAGTTAGCCTATGTATATTACATAACTAAACATCAATACACATTTATATTTTATACAGCGTTTACACCTAAGTTCAAATTACTGCCCTGTAATCATGTGGCATTATCATGCTTTCAGTTTTTGGCTTCAGGGCTTCGTGACTATGAGGGTCCTGGTAGGAAATAGATGCTGTACTCACATGGGTTAATTAAGAAGAGTTTAATTTAAGGATGATTTGCAAAGGTATGGGTGGGATATAGGAAGACCAATATGGGAAGTGCTGCTAAAAGGCACTGTCATTACCTTAGGCCTAAAGTGAAAGGTCACCTGTATGAAGAAGGTCACTTGACAAAACCTGTGGACTTGGTCCACACCTAGCATTTATGCAACCCTGGGCAAGAGCAAAAATTGAGGACTACAAACCATACATGTAAATATTTAAAAGTAATAAATCAGGCTAACAGAGAAATAAAATAAATTCTGTTACCTCACCTTAACAGAACCTTATAATGGCTTGGAAGGCCAAATTTGTATTTCAAAGTCTTAGACTCCATGGAGTTTCTCACTGGCACATTGCAGTGTGGAAGGACACATTGCCACTTCTGGCCCAGAGCTGCCTCACACCTCTTCACATCCCTGGAGGCACCTTTTATGCTGGAATAGACCTCATATGTACGTATATTAACCCTTGATTCCATGTTATTAAACTCCGTCTTCATCCTTATCACCCTTCTCCAAAAAGCTGTACCTACCCACTCAGACCCTACAAATAGGATTAGAGCCATTTTAGCAGGGAATTGTGCAGACCTGTGTACCAAGGACATGGTCTAGCATGCGGAGGCTGAGCTCTGGGTGGGAATGTTCCCTTGGCCTATAGATCCTTGCTCTGTGTTATGGACAAGGCCAAACAAGGGGCAGTACAGGGCCCTCTAGAGTGCTCAGCCCAAAGTCAAGGCATCTCCTCCCCATAAATTGGTATATTACCACGGACTTCAACAAAGAGCCACCCTAAGGCATACAGCAGGAAAGAACTTGAAGAATCAAACACCTATCTCACTTTCCTTTCCTTTCTCAATATCTTTCTCTCAGTGATAACTGCTTCCCATCTCTGTTGGCCTTACCACTGAAAAGCCAGGAATAAAGACACCCTCTGAGGTGAGGCAATCAGTGTGGGTCAGCCACCAGGGCAAAGAGCAAGTACAGAGGAGTGAATGAAGTCAACTCTACAGCGACAAACTAAAAGTCTCTAGCCCAGGTCATGGGTACTCTAGGAGAATCTTTGCTTTGGGGTCCTTGACAATCCCCCCTTATATACACTTCTAAAAAGAGCATTCTCATAATTAAAATATTCTACTCATGATTACTTTTTAGGGAAGTATTCATATAAGGCCTTCTTACCTAGGGTGCTGTAAACCATTTTTGGTTACTCTGAATTTAATTCATAGATAATTTAAGTGTCCTAGTCTATTTGGGCTGCTATAGCAAAATATATTAGATTAGGTGATTTACAAGCAACATAAGCTTATTGCTTGCAGTTCTGGAGGGTGGAAAGTCTAAGATCAAGGTGCCGGCAGTTGCAGTTTCTGGTGATGGCCCACATTCTGCTGTGTCCTCACATGGTGGAAGGGGGCTGGCTAGCTCTCTGGGTGATCTTTTATAAGGATGGTAGTCTCATTCAGGAGGGTGGAGGCCTTAAGACCTAATGACCTCCCAAAACCTCAGCTTCAATACTGTCACACTGGGGAGCAGGTTTCAACGTGTGAATTTTGGGGAGACACAAATATTCAGACTGTAACACTATCTCGCACATAACTGAAAAAAAATTTAAAAAAATACTTCAACTGTAATGTAAGGGAGAAATAATTGTAATATAATTCATGTTAAATACAATATAATAAAATACACAAATGCATGGACCAAGCTCCACTAGAATCTATAGGTGAAGAAATCACAGAGTTGGAAATCTGGGAAGAATCACAGTGAATATGGCAGCTCCAAATATAGAATGCTGTAGGTGTGCTATATGGGTGAGTCACTAAATGTCATGAGTGGCATTGAAGTGGTGGTGGTGATGATGAATCATTTTGATAATCACTATTGTATCTTAATCATTATTATATTCATGCTTCAACTGAAACTGAGGCACAATCACTCTTGTTTATCTCTGTTATCCCTGCATTATTTTTAATAGAAGGCAATTTCACTCTCAAAAGAGTCTCACTGTCAAAAGGGCCACCCAAATTATAATCTGACAGAATGAAGTGTTCAGAGAAGCACATAACAAGATAAAAAATATCTCATGTGTGGGGCTGAAACAAGGTCAATGATGACTGGACCATAGAGAGGAGAGCGGAGAAGCATAATGTATGATGGAATCTGAGAGGTAGATAGAGTTCATCAATATAGAATCATCCAGGACATATTAAGCAGTTTTCTTTACCCAAGAAGCTAGAAAAGCCCTTGAAGTGTTTCTAGTGGGGACATGATATGAAGAGATTTGCATTTCAAGAATATAATTCTGCTTGAATGAGGAGGTCGCTACTGAACAGCTACAAGCTTGTTGAAGTCGTTGAAGTGAGAAATGATGCTTTGAACTAGGGTGGTGATGGGAGAACTGGGAAAAAGTAAACATATGTAAGTAATAGTTAAAAGATTAGATGACAGGATTCTGTGACAGATTCGATTTGGGAAGCAAGCCTGGGAGTCAAAATCATTCATAGGTTTCTGGCTTGGGAAATGGGATGCTTAATTTTAGTTGTCAACTTGACTAGATTAAGGGAGCCCCAGATAGCTGGTAAAGCATTATTTCTGTGTTATGGACATGAGGGTGTTTCTGGAAGAGACTGGCATTTGAATAAGTGGACTGAGTAAAGAAGATCTGCCCTCATCCAAGGCGAGTGGGCACCATTCAATTGGCTGATGGGCCCAATAGAACAGAAAGATGGAGGAGCTAGGCATGATGGTGCATGCTTGTAGTCTCAGCTACTCTGGAGGCAGGAGGATGGCTTGAGTCCAGGACTTCTGGGCTGTAGTGTGCTATGCCAATTGGGGGTCCACACTATGTTCCGCATTAATATGTTGACCTCCCAAGAATGGGGAACCACCAGGTTGCCTAAGGAGGGGTAAATCAAGCCAGGACAGAAACAAAGCAAGTCAAAACTTTCCTGCTGATCAGTTGTGGGATCAAGCCTGTGAATAGCCACTGCAATCCAGACTGGGCAACATAGTGAGATCCTGTCAAAAAAAAAAAAAAGAGAGAGAGAAAAGGAAAGGTGAATTACCTCTCTTTCTTCTGGAGCTGAGAAGCCCTTCTTCTCCTGCTCTTGAACATAAGAGCTCAGATTCTCTGCCCTTTGTACTCCAGAACTTTGGCACAAGCAGCCTACCATGTTTTGAAGGCTTTGACTTGGACTGAGATTTACACAATTGGCTTCCCTTGTTCTGAGGCTTTTGTACTTGGACTAGGCCATGCTACTAGATTCTGTGGTTCTCCAGCTTACAGATGGCATATTGTGAAATTTCTCAGCTTCCATAATTGTATGAGCCACTTCCCATAATAAATCCTATCTATCTATCTATCTATCTATCTATCTATCTATCTATCTATCTATCTGATCTATCAATCTATTGATCCACCCATCCTTGCACACTATTGCTTCTATCTCTCTGGAGAGCTAATACAGGCAACTAGATGAATAAGAGTGCCATTCTGTATGAAAGGAAACATTAGAGGTGTTTTAGAAGTGGGAGGAAAAGATGATGAGTTACTTGTTAGGGTACTTAAAAATATGAATATGAAGTGCCTTTTACATAACCATGTGGAGAATACCGAACAATGATATAAATCTAGGAGATGCATGTCTATAGGAGACAAATAGTGGATGAGATTGCATTGGGACAGAGTGTAGAATGAGGAGATGAGGGTCTGATTGAGTATTGGGAAGCACCAATGTCTAATGGCTAGAGAGAATAAAGAATCTCCAAAGAAGACAGAAAAACAATACCAGAGAGTTGAGAAGAAAGTAAGGAATATAAAGTTCTATGGAAGCCCAGGGAGTAGAGAATATTATCTGAGGCCATGGGAATTATGGAATTGGAGAATCTTAACATAAGAACTTTTCATGAGATCACTTCTAAAGGGAACCAGAGAAAGAATATATAAGTAGAGAAATGTACAGTCAGGTTGAGACTTTTTTCCTAAATTTTTCTTTTAATGAAGGAAAAACATCTATTTGAAAGAGAGGTGAAATATCAAGAGGGAGAAAGTTCAATACCTACATTTCTCAAGAAATTGAGACAGGAATTAGATTTAAGTAGGAAAAAGAGACTCTTTTATAGCAATAAGTGGTAAGAATAAAAGATAGATGACATTGTGCAGGTTGCATTTTTAGTGTTGGGAAGATAAAAGTTTAATGTGATGGTTTTCTTTTTGAAGTAGCAGATGAACTGAATGTGAGTGGTAGAAGGGCAGAGGAAACTCTGGGATTAGAGGAGAAGGTTCAAAATGCAATAGGACAAGCAGGTGATTTTAAGGACTCATTTAAGTTTTGTGAATCAGGGGCCACTCTGCAATGGATCTTCTTCCAGTAGCACTCAAAGCTCAGGAGCAGACAGGATGAGTGGGAAGCAGTTCTCCCCAGTAGAGTTTGCCAGGTGGAAGCAACAAGAAGATAGAGGAACAAGGATTTAGGGTGTTAGCCAGAGGAATTTTGAAGTAACACACCATGAAATATAAACAGGATAATTAGAAAGTGAAGAAAAAGGGACTGATGGATTGGGATAAAAGTAGAAAGGACCATCAACTTAATCTTAGTAAGGTCAAATAAGGATCATTGTGAGAGGAATTGAACACAGCATCTGAAAGAAGAGGAGGTTGTAGGTGGAGCCTGGGGAAACTCTTGTCTTGGAGAGGTCTGTAGATCCAAATCTAAATTGGATACAGCTCATAATGTTAGGCTCTCATAAGGTCTTACATTTTTCCTTCCTTGATTTTTCAGTACTTGCAATTCTGTGTATATATGTATAATTTTAAAAATTTGCCTTTTTTTTACTAGATTATAACCTCTGTGAAGGTAAAGACAACATTTTAAAAAAATTATTTATTTTTACCATTGACTCTTTAGCAATTAGCATAGTACCAAGCATGTAGTAAGTGTTTAACAAATATTGTCAAGAAAAATTGAATAAATTTTTAATTACCAAATGATGTTGTGTCTTTTGGTTAAATAATGTGAACATTTTTTAAGGCATTTAAAATAATTCAGGCCTAGGATGGTGGCTCAGGCCTGTAATTCCAGCATTTTGGGAGGCCAAGGTGGGCAGATCGCTTGGGTCCAGAAGTTCAAGACCAGCCTGGGGAAAATGGGAAAACTCCATCCCTACAAAAAATACAAAAATTAGCCAGCATGATGGTACACACCTGGAGTCCCAGCTACTCAGGAAGCTGAGGTGGGAGGATCACCTGAGCTCAGGAGGTAAAGGGTACAGTAAACTGTGATTGTACCACTGCACTTCAGCCTGAGTGACAGAGCAAGACACTGTCATGACACTGTCATTCATATATATATATATATATATATAATATATATATACACACATATACATACACACACATATATACACACACACACATATATATACACACACACATATATACATATACACATATACATATACATATACATAATAAAATAAAACCTATTATTCAGGATTTTCTAGAGAGACAGAGCCAATAGGATCTAGATACAGATATAGATGCAGACACAGGTACACATATACATATACATATACATATACATATACATATACATATACATATACATATACATATACATATATGAGAGATTTATTTGGGGAGTTGGCTCATGAAATTATGCTGGTTAAGAAATCCTATGACAAGCTATCTGCAAGCTGAAGACCCTAGGGTGCCAATAGTGTGGCCCAGTCAAAGTTTGAAAATCTCAGAAACATGGAAGCCGATGGTAAAATTCTCCATTGAGGCTGGGAGGCCTGTAAACCCAAGGTATAAATCCTGAGTCCCAAGATGAGAGAGCCTAGGGTCCTGATTTCCAAGGGTAGGAGAAGAGTGTGTCCCAGCTCCAGGAAAGAAAGGAAATCCTTTTTGTTTTATCCAAGCTCCCAGCTGATTGGATGGTTCCTGCCCACATTAAAGGTGGATCCTTTTCATTCAGTCCACGGACTGCATCCAATTTCATGTGAAAACACTCACAGACACACACAGAATTAATGCTTTTCTAACTTCTCTAGGTATTTCTTAATCCAGTAAAGTTGATGTCTAAAAGTAACCATCAAAAATATTTTTAAATACCAGACCAGAAATTTTGGTCAAGTTTACCTTCTAATTATTAGTACAAGAATGTCTCATGTCACATTCTATATACTTCCTGTATATGTAAAGACACTCCAGCCTAAACTTTTGAAGATACAGGAATACGCAACTTCTGCAAAGACTGGAATGTGCCTGGAAGTCAAAAGTGTTGGTGAGTGTGTCGATTTCACTAATGATGGCTAAGCTAAAATTGTCTGAAAGCTTCACCTTTTAATACATGGTATTAATTTTTAATTCTTGCAGGCAAGGGGAAGTCTCTGAATCTGTACATTCTAGGTTGCTTCCAGAGCCAAGTGTCAATTCAGATATACAATATGCCTTTTGTTGCTTATATGGTAAATGGTTCTCTGAGAACATTCATGGTGACATTTGTCTTTTGCTGTGATTTTTGCTTTTTACCTGAAAAATATGTTGTCCTGGGAAGAAAATCATTTTCATAAAAATTCTAACATCTGGATTTTAACTACATGCCTCTTTCTTATTTCTGTCTGTAATCATGCTCACAGAAATGACTGAGCATTCTGCCAAGTCTTATTTTCATGCTTTTTAACTACCTCAAGAGTGGATTTTATTTAGTCCATTTTCTGAATGGAGACATTGCAATTTAACGGAGTCATTAAAAATTGATCTGATTTTGTAAAATAGGTAACCATGCAAAACTAAAACAAAACATTTGGTAGGTAATAACCAATTTAATGTGAGTAAAGGGAGGGTTGTTATTTTTAAAAAATCAAATGTCTCAGTAGCATTGGGGCTGTCTTTTTGTATTATGCAGCTGTGCAATGCACTCATGTGGGTGCTCAATAAATACTAAGTGAGCATAATAATAATATCATTTCAATCAAAGTGTAAAAAGAAAAACATCAATGCAAGTATAGAATGCTTGATTCTATGATTTATACAGAAGTCTGTGCTGTGCATAACAACACACACGGAAACATCTGCTGGGATCTGCTGTCACAATGCAAGAGACAACGAAGATAATAAAGCCATTGTTTTCATCTAAAATGAACCTGTTATCTGGCTTTCTCTTAGCTAGTCAAGGGACTACAGTGGCAAATATTAACTGACCATCAGAATATTCAATAAGAAGAATTACATTTTTGTTTTCAATCCATTAGAGCAATATGCTTTATTTGTGATGCTGAAGAAAAGCAACATGTTAATGCAGTCCATTGCTATCAGCTTAGTGGGTATTTATGTGACTGTATTTTTCTGAGTCTGTAGTATTTTTATTTCATCTTTTGAATATTATAATTTGCTTTATTCTTCTGTTCTCTGATGGTGAGACATTTTTACTGTTCAGTAACATCTTTCTTCAAAGAATATTGAAGGTAAAGAAAGAAAAATGAATGATATCTAAAAAAACTAAATGTTGGGTTAAAGTGAAAATTGAAGATAATAGTTAAGAGATATATTTTTATATTAATTTTAGCTGATGATATGTTCTTTGGCTCACAACTTAATTTAAAATATAGGATTTTGACCTGAATTTAGGTTCTATGAAAATGGCAGTCTAAGGAAAAAAAATGTAGACAGAGCCTGCTGTAATAATTCCTTTTTTTTTTTTTCTGCCTGGGTTTTCCCTCCGAAGCTCAAAGATCTTTAAGTCTTTGATGGCTTTGCAAAAGAAGCAGGCAGAGCCCTCCTCTGCCTGTATTTTTTTTTACCATGCCTTCTAGCCATTCTATGTTTTGATCTGTGTTTCCATCTGGGCTTACTAACATAGCAACTCTGGCATGTAGTCCATCCAGTTTATTATCTATTGAAATACCTACTGCCTGAAGTGAATTTATTTTGGCAGCAATGACTTTTGATAGAGATGTATTTTGTTGTTTTTGTGAAAGACAGGTGAGTCTAAAGATTCCAAACCGACACCTGGATGACAATGCTTTGGCCTTTCCTCATGGCAAACTTTGGTGAAAAAAATAAATAAACAACTTCCGTGAACACATTTGTTTTTATTTGTCATTATTAACTTGTTTTGTCTAAAAGCCAGGAATCTCGGAGGCTAAAAGTAAGGAATGGTAACATGCATAAGGAAATCAGGTTATTATAACACAATAGAAGCAGACTCTCAAAGCTCCCTAAGGGCACTTCTTTCCTCTCTCTTTCTAACTTTTTCTCAGTGTTGAGTTATTTTTAACCTTTAGAATTTAATTTCTGAAAGATTATGGCTATATCAAGTTTTGCAGGAACCGTACTTCTAAAGTGTTTGCATGTTTTAGATTTTGATGATTCACTGTCTGTTACTCTCACCTGAAGCTGAAATAGAGGAAAGCAAGAGGAATGAAATTGTGTAGAAGGAATATCCAAAAGGTCAAAACAGTAAAATTTATTTTGATATTTTACATAATACATATTGCTCCCTAAAACTTTTATTGCTGCCTTTTGAGGTACATTGTAAAACAAAACTGGGTTATTCTTTAAACTAAATTTGGTTTTGCACACAACTTGAAAACGAATTTGTTAATGGATGCTTCCATTTAGCTGCTAACTCTGCTTTTTTAAATGAACATCTCAACAATTTGCTTATTTTGTAGTTAGGTATGGTTTTACCATGATAATTGGTCAGAAAGTGCAGACCCTATATTTGGCTTTGCTCTGGAGACACTGTAACTTTTTGGTACAAACCATGCAACGCTTTTAGGAAGGAGTAGGATGAACATTCTTTCCTTCATATGATAATCTATAAAACATATGAGTCTCGGGTGATTAAAATCATTTTATGAATTCTGGTAACACCTGTGTATATTATTCAATCTGGATATGAGCAATCTAATGCAGTTGTTTCTTTGATGAATAAATGTGGGGTATTTTGTGTCTGTAGCAATTCCTTTATACAAGTCACTACTTAAAAAAGAAATTCCTGATGCATATATTGAGACATTCCACATGGTTGATCTGTATCATCCCATCTCTTTTGCCTAGTTCTTGAAAAGAAACTTTTTTTTAATAGAAGAAGTAGCACCTTTACCAATAAAATTATACCTGTTAAAGAGTTGATCTCATGCCTATCACTAGAGCCATCCAAGTTCTTCATCCCAGGATTTGCACTTCCATTGTATCATGCTACATATTAGACTATATGATTGAAAAAGTTTTTTTTTTCATGAGTTAATTCTATTTAGATGGTGTTTGAGATGTACTTTAATTCATTGATCCATTAATCTATTTGTTCATTCTTCTCTTTCACCTATTTGAAAATATATTTGGTTCCAGGCACAAAAGATGACCTGTACCTCCAATAAATTTGTGAGCTGATATAGAAGACAGATCATAGAATGATGCAATGAATTAAAATAGTAAATGAGGAAGAAACTTTTACGAGTGGTTAGATATTCAGTGTGACCTCACTGTGGGTGAGGAGAGAGGGTGACAAAGAATAACACATAGTAGGAAAGGGCCAGATTATGAGGTTCTTTTGTGCTATAGTCCAGGACATACAGACTTTATGTAATAGAAAAGTGGTCTCCAAAGTTTGGTGCATGTCCCCAGGGTGAACGCAAATTGACTCATGGGTCATTTGGTCTTAGGTTGTGCTTCCTCAGAGGCAGACCCTGAGACCAGCGTGTAAGCAAAAGTCTTCTGGGGAAGTGATCCCAGAAAGCAACAGTAAGAAAGCTAGGAAGCAATATTTTACTTCCTAGTAAATAGGGATGAGAAGGAATTCCATAAACAATGTTATATTGAGCAGGTTATTCCTGAGTGCAACTGGTGTTCAATTCAACTGGGGACCTCTAGGGCAAAGTGTAGGTTATACTTCAGCACCATCTCAACTGAAGGGACAGGAGAACTGACAACTGTACACCAACTCTTCTTAGTCATTGGTTGAACAATGCCCATGGGAACATGAATTTCTTGGTACTTCTTGTATCCTCATATGCAGGTCATAAAGCTTTTAGTGACCAGGGAAAGCCCTCCGGCAGAGTCAAAAATGCTTGTGGCTGGAGCTGTGGGTTCAGCATGTATAAGAATGGTGTGCTGGGTCGGGCCTGTGGCTCACACCTGTAATACCAGCACTTTGGGAGGCTGAGGCAGGCGGACCACCTGAGGTTGGGAGTTTGAAACCAGCCCGACCAACATGGAGAAATCCCATCTCTACTAAAAATACAAAATTAGCCAGGCATGGTGGCGCATGCCTGTAATCCCAGCTACTCAGGAGGCTGAGGCAGGAGAATCACCTGAAGACAGGAGGCAGAGGTTGCAGTGAGCCTAGATGGTGCCGTTGCACTCCAGCCTGGCAACAAGAGTGAAACTCTGTCTCACAAAAAAAAAAAAAAAAAAAAAAAAAAAAAAAAGAAGAAGAAGAATGGTGTGCTGAGTTAACATGGTCAGGCACCAAAGACAGATGCCATATAGATGGGAAGAAAATATTAAATCTTCCATCTATATTTATTCGTACCTTTCATACGTAGATTGGCAATGTGCCTGCATTTGATATTTAAGTGAAATAGCTAACTTTACAGAAGTTTGTCACTTCCTTCTGACAAAAAATGTAGAGCATAGACTGTTGACAGTTGTGAGATTCTTTTGTGCTATAGTGAGGTGAGGTGCTTACTTTCTCAATTATAGTTAATTAATCTTTACAAGATAAAAAAATCTTTAAAAATATTTGGAAAGCATAGTTGAAAATACTAATAAATAAGAAACTGTTTCTAGCATAAAATTTTACTCAGAGTTGCCGGGCGCGGTGGCTCACGCCTGTAATCCCAGCACTTTGGGAGGCCGAAGTGGGCGGATCACGAGGTCAGGAAATTGAGACCATCCTGGCTAACACAGTGAAACCCCGTCTCTACTAAAAATACAAAAAAAATTAGCCGGGCATGGTGGCGGGTGCCTGTAGTCCCAGCTACTCGGGAGGCTGAGGCAGGAGAATGGCGTGAACCCAGGAGGCGGAGCTTGCAGTGAGCAGAGATTGCGCCACTGCACTCAAGCCTGGGTGACAGAGCGAGACTCCGTCTTAAAAAAAAAAAATTTTTTACTCAGAGTTATCGTACAGGGTCTGCCAAGCATATTTCAAGATTATTTGAAATATGAATTTTAATTCACCATCAGAAGTAGGAATAGATATTAGGGTTGGCATTGATGATTAGTTCATCTAATATAGGCATAGAAGTCTACTGAAAATCCAGTGGGAAAATGAAAATAATCTTTTCTAACTTGCGACTGGAGATGAAGCAGTAGATTGGGTATATCATTTTATGTGCTATATAATGTTCAAAAATATCATTTGATAGATAAAAATTAAAGTCACGTGAGCCAATGAGATCACCCAAGACAAATATGCAAAACAAGAAGAAATTAGGAGTATGAATATTTGGCTCAGCTTTTCTCAGGGAGACGAGTAGTTGGTCTTTATAGTCTATCAGGTGGTACATAAGAGGTTTAGTTGTATTGAAAAACAAAACAAAAGATTGTTCACAAGAATTTCATAATTTTTAAATGTAAGAATTATGAGGACTTTTGCAGAAATACTACAAAGGTTGAAACATTAGGATCTTCCATATTGCACATTTGTTACAAAGACCGTGTTAGTCACTTATCTCTGCTTATGTTCAGAAAGTACAACTCACTTGGGTTTTGCCAACATTTCCAGACCATGTTTATTAGTTGCTGATTTTTAAAATATTTATATTTGTATTCATATTAGTTTGTGCTGTATGGCTATTATTGGCCTAACTTTTAAATGATCCCCCAAAATGTCCCACTTTAGTCTTCATTATCTATGAATTTATGATATCACTCTCATAATTATATTATATGGTACAGTTTATCTTAAAATAGAGAGGTTATTTGGGTAAACCCTACCTATTCACATGACAGCTTAGAAGCAGAAAGCTTTTCTCACCGATGGCAGAAGTGGGAGTCAAAGAGATAGAGAACATGAGAAGGACTGGACCTGTTGTTGCTGGTGTTGAAAATGAAGGTGCCACATAGGAGGAATGTGGGCAGCCTTCAGGAGCACTGAGGCCACTGGCCACCAAAGAGACAGGACCACAAGCAACTCAATTCTGCAAACAACCTGAATGAGATTGGAAGCAGATTCTTCTCCAGAGCCCCTGCATGAAAGCCTAGCCAAGTTGTCTTCTTAATTTCAACCTTGCAAGATCCTAAGCAGAGAGTCCAGCCAAGTCCACTATGAATTCTGACTTACAGAACCAGGAGATGATAAATGGGTATTGTTTTAAGCCTTTAAATTCATGACAATTTGTTATTCAGCAACAGAATGTTAATACATCCCTGACTTACAGTAATCAGTATTTAGTTTGGTGAAACAAAAATGACTAATAAAACTCCTAAAATATACATTAAACTCAGAATGACATCATGCATGTTTTTAATAAAGTGGACTATGGCATAAATATAGATTGTGAATCCGTATATGCTGGGACAATTGAATTTGTAAGTGTGACAATTTTGCCTAGAAGTCCAAAAATGTGCTTATAATTTGGCAAAATGGAGATCTAAAAACAAAGGAAACTCAATTTTATTAGACCAGAATTTTATTTTCTTCTAGTTCCAAACATTATGAAGTTTTATTAAAGATAAGAATAAAGCCATTGAACATTTTGAAAATTTAAACTAAAGAAAAAATATTTCTCTTAAAAGAGCCAAGGCCTTCAAAAGCAAGTGAAAAATCATATTTTCCAGTGGAGGAAAGGCTGACCAATACTACATAAGTGCCTCATTGAGGGTAATAAGTTTGATGAGAAAATAGAAAGAGTCTTTATCAAATAATTTCATTGGCTATTGCATACTATACATGCATAAAATACAGAAGAATGCTTACCATCACATATCTCTGAGCAGATATTTTACATTACGTTTGGGAGAAACCACTGACTTGCAGTGTGAAGCAGCTCTCTCTCAATGGATGGTGCACATATAGGGAAGGACGATTTTTTTTCATAATTAAAACCCATGCAAAAAAATTAACATTGTTTTGTGTGGCTAAGATTACTTTGTCAGTCATGATAAAGACTGGAACCTATATTAATGTCATGTAAACTGTATATGCAGAAAGGCCACATGTGCTTTGTAAAGAGGAGGTTGCCCTTCAGTGGCAACACACGGGTAGCTTGATTTACAGTGAAGGACAGCAATTTGGACCAAATCTTGACTCAGTGTTGATAGAAACACAGAATATTGTAAATATGTCAAAATACATATTTGCCTGAAGAACTGGACAAACACAAGACTGTGGTTTTACTTAGTAAATAATGCTGAATATTGAAAAAAAGTTATTCATAAAGTGGTTGATATTGTTAAAAATTTCTATTTTATGATTTTATGTGACTTTGCCAAAGTTGTACTTCTTCCTGACACAAACTCTGAAACTTGACTATCCAGCATGTCATTTTGGTCATATAGAACACACTCAAAAGTCACATCCAAATATCCAAATGCTCTAGAAATAGGGAGACATACTTTACACAGGTGAATTCTACAAAATAGCAGGTTGCAGATAGTTTTCACAACTATCATTATCATTCAACAATTTTCAGTTACTTTCAAATGTAATGTATCTTTTAATTAGCATCTGACAAAACTAAGTAACTAGTTTAAAGGAGAAATTTTTCTATATTTTTCAGTCAATAATCAGCACTCCTTGAGAATGACATTGACTCTTTGCTGGCGTTTCCTGTGAACTATAATGTGATATAGAATTTTCTAATCTGGAAGGAATGAAAAATTATACATACAGATAAAATTAATGAATGACAGAGTAAATATATATACACAGATATATAATTAACAGATGGGAAATGGTATATATATGTGAATATATGTGTGTGTGTGTGTGTATATATATATATAACATAAATCAACTTTGAAATTTGAACTACAGCTTAAATTATTTTGTTTTAATACATTGGTTAAAGTCTTCGTTAGGATTTTCTCTCTCACTGGTTTGTTATTTTTAATTTTACACATTACATTTTGTTTTATTGTTTAAAATCCCGATAAGTAATATCTCAATTTGCTTAAAAGCAAGAGTCTGCTTGCACCTAGAAGGACAGTTTTATTTTGTTTTGTTTTATTTTTAAATATTTACCTAACTGATCTAAGAAGAGAAAACTAAATGTTCACACAGACAGCGTTAGAACCAAGATAAACTGATGCACTAAATGCCTAGGAAGAAGCCAAGGGAGGTGGTTGTGTCCAGTGCTATTTGGTATGTAATTATCAGTTTTGTGTTTTAGCCTGCCTGTAATACACATGATACAAAATGTTCTTTGTTTTCTAGCATAAAATCTACACAAATGCCCTCATTCTATAAGCATCTCCTATTCTTTTTGGGAAACCAACTGTGATCCAAAGGAAAACTGCTTTTTATCATAGAAACTCTCTCTTTTTTATTTTATTTATTTCTTGCCAAATTGTCTTGCTTTCAGATATATCTGGGCATGTCACAAGTCTAAATGATTCATAAGTCATCAAAATAGAGACCTGAAAAATTTGCCAACCCATGTAAAAATGCAGCAGTTGTAAAGAAGGTTAAATAACAGTATAAACAGTGCCTCAGTCCTGGGCAGTGTGCTCCTCCCAGGTGAGGCAAGAGGAACAAACAGGCTTTTTAGAAAGAACGAGTGTTGTTCCCATTGATGTTCATAATAAATCATCATTCAGAATATTCTGTCAATAACACACTGCCCCCAATCGTCTCATGCCTGCAGCGTTACGCTCATGCTATTGCAACTAGATGAGCTATCAAAGCCTCATGCAGTCAAAGAGAGTAGTTTAAAGAGGTACAATAACAGGCGATTTGCAAACAGCCCAAACCTTTAGCTTCTTCCCCTTTTCCAAAAGTGTGCAGTGAATTTACATTAACACCTGCTATCGGAGATGAAAGAATGGATTTGCACTGCAAGAAGAATGCCAAATCCTCCTATAAGAGTGACTCATTTCCCTAAATTGTGGGATATTATGTGGAACTGGAGGCAGCATGTTGCATTCAACATATTGGGTCAAATTTGAATTTTCAAAAATAAAATGGCAGTATATCATTTAACACAAAGAACTCAGAAGTCCTGTCTCTCCATATATTTGCTACATAATCACCAGATTAAATTAACTCTGTGAGCAGGTAATTTTTATCGTCTAAGGATAATTTATATCTGTAGACTTTTTACTACCTACTCATTCAGATTACTATGACATCTAAGATTTTCATGCTGTTAAATTCAATTTATTGTGGAACATAAGGGCAATTAAGGGATGGGAGATGACATTATATTACATCAAAGTGAACTACAGGAAAAGGAGGAGTGTACCACTAGTAAATTGTTATATGTAAACATAATTTTGAGTAATTTCTTCATAGTGAAGAAGCAGACAATATTCTTAGCAACTCACTGTTTCAGCCACTTTTTTCAGAGCCTATTTACTACATAAAAACGAATAAATCATTAATTGACAATTTGAATATGTGAAAAAAATTAAATTCTAAAAGTCTGAAAAAAAACATACATATCACAAAATCCATTTAAACATTTTAAATAAGGTCCTAAAACGCCTATATACCTGGCACACATTTCCCCTATGTTTTAGAATGATATATTAGTTGTTTAGTGCTGAAAAACAAATTATCAGAAATTTAGTTAGGAAAAATAAAATACATTTACTATTTTGAATTTTCTGTGCTTCAGAAATATGGAAATGCCTCAGCTAGATACTTTGAGTCAGAATCATTCACAAGGCTACAATGAAGGTGTCAGCCAGGGCTTACATTTCATCCGAAGGTCTAATTGGGGAAGTATCTACTTCCAAGCTCACATGATTTTTGGCAGAATTTTCGTCCCTCAAGTGTTGTTGCATTGATAACTTCAGTTCCTAATGTTGAACTGGAGGTCACAATCAGTTTGCTGCCATGTGGGACTCCCCTAAATGACACCTTTATCAAAGCCAGCAAGGTAGAGAATCTTTTAGTACAATGGATTTCATTATGTTATATTACCTAATCACAGAACTAACATATTATTTCTATGGCTAGAAGCAAGATACAGGTTCTGTCTGAACTCAAGGGGGAAGGGGAGAATTATATAAGCTTATAAGTTGTGTGTGTGTGTGTGTGTGTGTGTGTGTGTGTGTGTGTGTATTTATTTTTTTAGAGATGGGATCTTACTCTGTCACCCAGGCTGGAATGAGTGGCACAATCATAGCTCACTGCAGCCTTGAACTGCAGGCTTCAAGGTTTCCTCCTACTTCAGCTTCCTGAGCAGCTGGGACTACAGATGGATGCCAGTGTGCCCAGCTCACATAAGGACACAAGTACCAAGAGGTGGGATGGTAATTAGGAAAACTTTAAAGTCTGCCCACCATAGATGCATTGCCTCTTTATATGACACTTAAATTCACTGGCTATTCTCCCCAAAATTGGTTGACCTTGAATATGTTTTATTTTCCATAAATCTTCTACTGCTCACTGTGCAGATTCACCAAGTGTCAAGACAAAAAGTACACAGCCAAAGATCATATGCTTTGACTTTAGCTTGGGGATTTCCCATTGGCAAGGCCAAAATCTCTTTAGAGCTGTTCTGTCCTCTTTCTGCCCTGTCCTCTTTCCTTGCATTTCTCCTTTTATATGTCAGAACTGTATCATGAGCTCCAGCTCCCTCTGCTTGTTCCTGCTTCCTTCCTTTCATCCTTCAAAGACATCCCCCCAGCTCCCCGTCTTTTACGTGACTTGACATCTATTTCTTGGAACAGCTGAATTAATGCACAGGTATAATCCAAAACCAGGTTTATGAAAAAAGTGACATAGAATATGGTTGGCTCTTGACAACTCTTGAACCATGACAAACACTGTAAATAACTTACAAAAAGGAAAAAGTTTCTGTAACTGACTACTTTTTATTTCTGTTCCTTTTAAAATTTCTTCTTGTAGGCTGGGCATGGTGGCTCATACCTGTAATCCCAGCACTTTGGGAGGCAGAGGCGGGTGGATCAAGAGTTCAGGAGATTGAGACCAGCCTGGCCAACATGGTGAAACCCGTCTCTACTAAAATACAAAAAATTAGCTGGGCATGGTGGTGTGCATCTGTAGTCCCAGCTACTCAAGAGGCTGAGGCAGGGGAATTGCTTGAACCCAGGAAGTGGAGGTTGCAGTGAGCCAAGATCGCGCCACTACACTCTAGCCAGGGTGACAGAGTAAGACTCTGTCTCTCTCTCTCTATATATATATATTTTTTTTTTCTTGTCATTTCATATGTGTCCATTTATTTTGGGGAAAAACATACCTACGTGTTCCCTTAATTATTTGCCATCCTTCACTTGGTGTGTTCTCTGGCAATGAAGAGAGAGACAGAGAGAGAGGGAGGACCACCAACATGAGAGTGCAAACAGCAAAAACCTTCCCTGCCTCTCTTTTTAGACATATGAGTCTACCTCAAAAATATGGCTTGGCATAAAACAAAACAGTATTTCTGTGCACAGGTTTTAATATCATAATTACTATAAAGAATTTTTATGCTATTTTCATTAAATTCACATTATATGCAAGGGATATAAGAATAAATAAACGCAGCCATTTCTGTCAAGGCACCTGCAGAATTTCAAATTTATTTCCATGTCATTCTTGGGAAAAGATACTATGTCATTCTAACCATTTCATTTTTTTTAAAATGGACATACTGAAGGTGCTAAACAAATTATTGATCAAGTGGCATTGGGAATTACCTAATTCAGAGATGCAAGGTTGAAAGATTCTAGAGGAACTTCTTAGAGTAATTGTTTCTGAGTTTGAAATCTTTAGAGTTTTATTCATCAGAATTGAGTCCTCTTCTGCACAAACAGGAATAATAATGCAGATTGATGGAGTGGGTGATGAAGTGCCAGAACTGATACCTTGTTGAATCTCTATTTGTGGAGTATCTGAATAGCTGCCCTCCCACGTGTGTGCAGATAAGACCCACACACAATGTGTGCAGACACATTCCACTTGGAAACTAATATTTTCAAATGCCTGCTCATGTTTTTTGCTGTGTCCTCTTTGTCTAAGGTTATGGAATTATTTTTCTTTTAGTAAGTTTTGTTATTTAATTGCTTCACAAATATCTTCTCCCAATTTGTTGTGTTTTAACTTTGCTTATGATGCCTTGTCTTATAGAAAATAATAAAAATTTAATCTACCATACTTACCATATATTTCTATAGATACACACATGAAAACTATTTGGAAAAATTTCAGGTTATTTGCTATTTGAGTGATACAGTCTATATAGTCTATATCAATATAGTCAATATAGTCTATATCTTGTTTATCTGTATTACTTTCAGGATACAGATAACGTTTTATTCTCCTTCTAACAAGCCATTTTTCTTTTCCAGACAGATATTTGAAAACAATTCCTAGAAAAAAAAAATTGTCTCTAGAGCGTCATCTGGAAACTGCCCTGTTTGCTGTCCTAAATGTAAAGCCTGATTCTGCAAAATATTACCTAGGGAGATAGGGAAAAGGGACTTGTTGGGAGATTTTGTCTGTCATGTTTTATTTTATTATATTGAAAATCTGAGGCAAATGGGCAAAATGTAGTATTTTTTAAAACTGATGTTAGCAATATAGTCTGTATCTTGTTTATCTGTATTACTTTTAGGATTTATTATTTATTAAGTCTGTGGATAATATATAACGTTTACACAGGTAGGTTAGGTGATGGTAGTTGCCCTTCCACTGCATCTCTGCAACTGGGGCTGTTTCAATCAGGCAAGAGTGAAGTGGAGAGAGTTGGAGGGGATCAGAAAGATGTGGGGGAGCACATTTGTGACTCAGCACTGCCCACTGTAATCAATTCAGGGATCTCAATTCTAGCTTCTTTAATTTATCCTGTCAAATGTAGTTCTTTCTAATTAAGGATATAGCCTGTAAATAAAGTGGTGACAAAAGAGAAAAGAGACAAGGACTTTCAAAGGTAACTCTTTAAGGAGGACCTTTGAGAATCCACAGAGTAAAATATCATGTTTTTCTGAGAATGTGATGATACACATTTTACATTCACTGCAAAGTGACACAAATAAAATCTAGAGGGAATAAAGGTAAATATTGGCTGGAGATGTTTGTCCTCTTCTGAGGAAATATGATTGACATATCTGAAGAGTAATATCAAGGACCTGAAGTCACACATAACGCCAAGCAAAGAAAAGAAAAGTTAGATTTAAAGAGCAAGAAAACGAAATTATACTGCTAATTTGACATATCAAGGTTGATCACCAGATATGATGCAAAGGACCAGGCAGCAAACTGAAAGTAAATAAACATTGTTCCTTTTGGAATGAACTTGAGTGAAAATAAAGGTGAGATGAACTAAAATAAACTTTATGGTAATGTGCTTGTATATTATAGAACAAAAGACAAAATAACGTTCCTCCATTTAAGAACTGTAACAAGAGTATAAATATGAAGAAATGTACTTTGTTTACTAACTTAACATTCACTTTGGCTCACAATAAGTTTCCATCTGTAATGGTTATTTTATTTTTCAGATGGATTTATACATCTTGGTGATAGCAAAGCACTTAACGCACAGCTTTTGTTGTTAGGCTCTGTAACAATCTTTTTTCTCCTATTTGGTTTTTCGAATAAAGTTTAAAAATTTGCTCCTTCAACTTTTCACTCCATCTAATCCATATAATTTTCTTCAAGGCTAAATAACACTTGAAGGTGGACAAAAGAAACCCAGCTTGTCATAATTCAGGAAGGTGCTCAAAAGGAGCCAGGTGCTCCCTTAGCCTTTGATTACTTACACACAGTTCAATATCTGAGTAAGGGAGTACTTTGCTTTGTGTCCTTAGATTCCATTAGTGACTCATGACAAGAGAAACCAATTTTGGGTAACAAGAGCAGGAAATAGAGATGTCCGGCTCGACTACATCTTTTTAATTATAGAAATGAGCACGTGTGTGTGTGTGTGTGTGTGTGTGTGTGTGTGTTATGCTTAACAATCAGCCTATTAAATAGCTAAGACTGGTCTTTACTAAAATAGTAGACTTTAAGTTATTGTGTATCAGGCTTTGGAAAACTTTCAAAAGAACAAACCATTAAGTGGTGTGGAGTAGGAAGATAAAGGACTTTCAGAAACAGGGGTTTCAGTTCATCTTATGGGAGCCTGATGATTACTTGACATAAGCGTTCTTCCAAGTTCACCATTAAAGGTTTTACAATAGTTTTCAATGTGGAAGGCAAAAGTGAAATATATGATAATATTTCTGAGCCATTAAGATAAAGAAACAGGAAATTGAAAGTTGAAAATGAACAAAATGGGGGACAATTGAGAGAAAACGATGGATTCTGTTAGCTGGTACACTTTTGTCCCCATAGATTACTAAAAGGACCTTAAATAGTTATTTAGTTGAGACTTATACCTAGGAAATACTTTGTCAAGGAAATTCTGCTTCTAGAAATAGGAAATGATGGAAAATAGCAGTAGTGCTTAAGAAATCATTCTCTGAAGTTTCTTGCTTTACATGAAAAAGTGAGCTTTGCTGATGTCAAGGAAGAATGTACACTGGAAAGTGAGAAAAGATGGAAACGAATCCTGGGAAGAAAATGGAACCTATTATTTTCCTATTGTGACATGGTTTAGAAAAATATCATTTAAATCATACTCCTCCTGAGTAAAGAATTGTCTAATTCTACATTTGATACAGTATGTAGTGTATACTTGGCATTCAATCAATGCTTTTGAATATAGATAATAAAAATGTCCCTTTTCCTGCAGTGCAAAGTACAAATTGGATGGAAGGACAAAATTCTCTCATTTTTTCACCAGTGATGTTCACGAGTGACCACTGATCTTCATCTGAAAGTATTAAAGTATTCCCTTCATAACCTTTTAATTCCCAAAGGGCCTTAACCTTTTATCCTCCTTCTAACAAGCCATTTTTCTTTTCCAAACGGACATTTGAAAACAATTCTTAGAAAAAAAAAATTTGTCTCTAGAGCATCATCTGGAAACCACCCTGTTTGCCATCCTAAATGTAAAGCTTGATTCTGCAAAATATTACCTAGCCACCCAACTACTTCAAAGTTTAAATGCCACGACAATACGTGTTAACTCCTCCAATCAAAAGGGGCTTCACAGGGCTTCCAAACACTGTTTTGTTTTCCCTGCCAATCATCTGAACAATACTATTGTCAGTCATATTAATTTAGACAAATCTTTTCAAGATGAATGGGTGGAGCAAACCCAGGCAAACAGACTGGGATTAGCTCTCTCCCTCTCAAAATAACCAGAAAGAGCAAAGATGCAATTAACAAAACAATAAATGTGTCTCAGCATACATCCCTGCCTTAGTATTCCAGCAGATAGATGGAAATTATGCCAGGGCAGAGAGGCCAGGCATGTCTTCTCTGAAGCTGAACTTATGCTGCACTAAGGAGGATAATGTAGAAAACATGCATGTTTTTACACCTTTGGAAGCCACTCTCAGTGACAAGATAACCTTTCTTACCTCTTTTGGTTGGTCTTTATTCTGGTGCTCAGTGTTGGCATTGTGTGTTTTAAATCCACTTTTCATTGTTTATAATAATTTTCTCACCTCTTTCCAAACTATACCTAAATGTGACTAGACTATATTTCTAGAGCATAGCCTCCACTCTACTTCCTCTGGCTGATGGCTGAAATGCTTTTCCCCACAGTACATGGAATCAAATATATTCCTCAAGAACCAGTTCAGATGTCAGCCCTCCCTAATATCCCCAACATGCTGTTCTTGCTCTTCCTTCTCTGGCACCCAGTTTGATTGTCTCTTATGTGTGCGTCTTATGTGTACTATTTCCATCCATATTTTCTGCTAAACTACAAGATCCTCTATTACACAGAACTTGACTAAATATTTATTTCATATTCTGTATGTTGTAGCTCATCACTTTGAACATAGTAGACTTTTGATAAAAGAACACATTCATAATAGTAGAGTTTACACTCAGATGTCTAATTTATACCTCATACCCTTCTAATATATAATGATGCATATAATCACCACGAAACTAAAAGCTTTATTCTGTTATTACCTCTATTTTACACACAAAAAGAGATCAGCAGCACAGAAAGATTAAAGAACTTGCCCAAGCTCATGCATATATTAAATGGCAAAGCCAGCCTTCAAACCCAGGCATCCCGATTCAAGCATCCACACTATTATCTCCGATCCTCTCTTACATCTTGTATTTGAAGCAATGAATAAATGAATGAACAAAATTTATGTATATTACTATTTTAATATACTTTTACTATTTAAATTCTCCTTCCTTTCACAAGAAACTGTCCTTGTATGTGACAAATAATTTTTCTCTTGCTGCTTTCACAATTCTTTCTTTGTCTTTGACTTTAGACAGTTTGATCATTATGTGTCTTGGTGTGGTTCTTTTTGAGTTTATTTTAGTTGGAGTTTTTTAAGCTTTTTAAATCAATATATTCATTTCCTCTTATATTTGAGAAGTGTTGGACATTATTTCTTCAAATAATCCCTGTGTTTCTTTCTTTCTTTTCCTTCTGAGACTCCCATAATGTATATATTGGTCCCCTTGATATTATCTCATAAGTTTCTTATACTCCCTTACATTTTTTTCATTCTTTTTCCTTTTTGCTCCTCTGACTCAATTTTAAATAACCTGCCTTCAAGGTTGGCAATTTTTTTTTCTCCCCAATTAGCTCTGATGTCGAACTCCTCTAGTAATTTTTTCAGTTCAGTTATTAAATTTTTAGATACAGAATTTCTGTTTGCTTTTCTGCTTTTCTTTTTAACAGTTTCTATCTCTTTGTTGATATTCTCAGTTTTTTCATGTGTCATTTTTCGATCATCTTCATTTATCTATTTGTGTTCCTCTCTAGCTCATTAGACATCTTTATCTGCATTTCTTTAGGATCCATTTCTGGAGTTTTAATTTGATCTGTCAATTGAACAATGTTTCCCTATTCTTTTGTGTGCTTTATTATATTTTTATTTTTGGTTTTAATTTTTGCCAGGATTTCAGCATTCAAAGAAACCATCATCTCTTTCCATCTATGTGTACTGGATTCTTACAGCTGAATACCTTCACCTATCAGCTCAGCTAGAATTTTTTTCAAACCTTTCCAAATCTCCTGTTCTCCCTGGCTTCTACCTATGGGACTGCAGCTCTAATGTGCTGTTCACCTCCGTTTCAAACAGCTTCCAAACTCTACACTGATTCTGCCAGCACTCTGACAGGCAGGACTCAAGCCGTTCCCTCAGGTAGCCCTCAGACAAATCTAAACCTTGGACACAAGATCAACTCTTTCATTTCCCTCCCAGCGGAGGAGCTCTTGTATGCAGAATTTCATCCTGGTTGCTTCCTCAATGCCACATAAAAGGAAGGACACAATTGGGTGGTCCAAATGTCTGAATATTCTACCCCTCTTGCTGAAAACCCTTTTTGGTTTTACAATAGCCAGGTGCTAAATCTTTTCAAGTGGTTGCTAGAGTTCTCATAGAGTTAGTTTAGTCCATATATTGTTCCTAACTCCATGTCTCTGTGGGAAAATCCTAGTCTACTCTCTTGACTCAAACATATTACTTTATATTTTGGTTTTGTGTAACGAAAACCCTCTATTTTGCTACATCAAGTAGCATTTTTAATAGGCAAACGTTACTGGATTTTACCCACTGACAAGACCATGCAAAATATCAACAAATCACAATTTCCATTTTTGGGTTCTTTTCTATGTTAAGAAATTACATTGCAGAATTACTTTGGCTATGGGATGAAGAACCTCCAGTGTATAAGGAACGGCATACCAATATTTAAATTTCATTTTGAACCTGATATGAAACCAAACATTGGACATAATAGGATTTGTAGACTGCATATATTATAAATTTGTTGCAGTAATATTTTAGAATTTCTTTATTGGTTTTTGTCATGTGAGAAATTGCCTCATTGCAATAATAGCCTCCAACTATGCTATCAGGCCAATTACCACAGTGAAAAACAAGGAACAAGAAAAGAGGGTAGGTTAACATACTTACAGTATGGTATAAATGGGTAAGAAACACATTGCCTGTGTTCTTAATCTCTCTCTCCCATGCAAATCTTCTCCCCCAGTCGTGTGGTTATGAGTATCAGAGTTGAGGTTTGAGTTGAGGGCTTTTAATAAGGTCAGAAGTGCCAGGGACCAATTGAAGGCTTTTCTGTGCCAGAGAGATGGAGGGACAAGTAGCTTGACATGAGCAGCTATGAGTTTTATTTGAAGAAGATGCATGGAACTGTAATGAGTGTCATCAATGAAAAACCCAATTAAATCTCCTGCATATTGAGTAACTACAGTGTGTCATATATTAATATAGTATTTTATGAATATATGCTGTCTCTTAAATACTTAGTAAATCATGGTTATTTCATGTCTACTTGATTTTTCTTTCCATTTCTATTTTCATACACATGCTTGTCTTACTTTAGCTATGTATAGCATCTCACAGGTTATTAACTTACTTATTTCTTATCATTTTTAGTTATATTTATCCCATTTCCTTTCTTGACTTTTATAAGAATTGTATATTCTCAATAAGTACCATAAATGTTCATAAAAGTTAGTGGTGGTGGTGGTGGTGGTGTAATAATGTTTTTTGCTATCTCAAAAAGAACTAGTCACTGAGATAATTAGCAAGGAGAAGGGGAATTTTCACGAGTTCTTAAGCAAGTTCAGTTAAGAAATGGGACCCAGACAGGACAGCAGCATGACTCCTCCTTTTAAACATTTGTTTTCAGACCCCTCCCTGCTCTATATTAACAAATTATACTCCTTCTGCCCAATGCACACATCATGTTTCCTCTCCCAGCAGCATTCACTGGATCTGAACTTTGGCCAGACTTGAAGCCTCACTTACCAGGGACTTAGAAGGAAGTGAAAATGGTGAGGACAGTTAATAGTTTTTAAATCACTAGAACTTATCAGTCAAGATCTTGTGATGTTATCTTAAGTCTTTACAACTACCTTAAGAATACAAAAAAAAAAGTTTTCATTTGTAGATTTAAAAAATATATATAAATTTACTTGCTTTAGGTCACATAATTACAAAGAAATTTAGCCAATATTGAAATGAGAAGTCACTAATACCAAATGCTATGCTCTTTCTGTCACTCTTCTCATAGATTTCTTATATGGTTACCGACTGAGCCTGTGTTGCAGCCCCTGGTTTTGAAATTATTTTCAGCAGAAAGTATCTGCTACTCAGGATCTTTTTACAGAAGTAAAGTGAATCATTCTTTGTCTCATTTATTCAGGTTTATTCTCTGGTGAGATGGATGGTAATTAAATATATATCTGCCTGACAACATTACATTCATTTTTTTTCTCTCCAAGGAAACACGAAAACTAAATCCAATTGAAAGTTCTTTCTAAAAGTAATGCAGAGACATGAATGACATATACATTCAGTGATATTATTATTTTCTTTCTGTCAATACACCATGCAGTTTTCAATGTACTATCTCAGAAAGACTAATCAGGATATAACCCCTCATCTTTTCCAAGAACTACAAAGCAAACCAAACATCAACTCATAAGTCAATCGAAATGCCAAAGCAATGAGTGTGGGCCTAGAAGTTCCAAAATTACTAGTTCCTACTGCGACCTATACAATGGGTATCGTAAGAACCCCTCTATCTGCTTCACATGGCTGCTGTGGAGTTCCAATGAAATCATATAAGTGAAGGTAATTTATAAAGTGTAAATTATTACACAGAGAAGAACCGTATTTCTTGTAATGACATTCATTGCAACCATTTTACTTCCAAATAGACCCCACTGATGGCTAGCTACCATCTCAATGTTTTGTGCCCTGGGTCTTAGATGGTAGCAATGCTGTTTTCACTATAACCACATTTGATCAATAGCAATAAAGTTCCACCCTGCACAAAAGCATTTCTCCTATGGAAAAAAAAAAAAAATCTGCTTTTATCCATCTTATTGCTAAATACAACTTATTTTTGAATTGCTTATTTTTGGGGTCAATGTTTTATTCCACAGAATAATAACTACCCTAAAGTTACAAAAAAAAAAAAAACCCAGAAAATCCAAATGTTGATCTTGGTCATTAATTACTTCTCTGTGAAGACTAAATTATTTTCTATTAATTAAAGAATATGTGTACTGTGTACCTCCTTCATACCATAATCTGGACAGGAAGAGAAAAGAAATGTATGCCTTCAAATAATTCACTGTCTAGTTCAGGGATATGCCACTGCCCATTGGCACCAAGCCATGCCAACTACAGGAGAGGTCAGGGAAGAGAAACCCCTTTAAATCAGAATGTTCAACTCAGATATTACTAGTTTACTGACAGAAAATTCCAAATTCTCATTTCTTTAAAGAACAAATACAAACTTTGTACATGTCACCAAAACTTCTTATATAACATTTACAATTCTACCACAAAGCATAAAATTTTTGCATTTATTCATTCATTTAGTAATAATTCATTGAGCACCTACTATATACCAGCCTCTCATCTAAGATCTTGGGATAAAAAGAAACATAATATACACTCCTCTGTTTTTTTAAACATACCATAGTATAACGTTTTTATGCAAAAGGAATTAGTATTGAAATAATACACAGGAATGTCTATTTTTCAAAAAGTGTTACTTTTCATATAAATAGAAGACATTGCTATGATTAAATAATTAGGTCATGCAGAAATTTTCACTGATAGAATTGGTATAATCAGATTAGCAAAAATACATTTATTAAGGAAAATGAAACCAGACATTATAATAGCACTTGTTGAAATACCTGCTATTCTTTTGTTTAGCCTTAGATTGTAGTTAAAATTAAAAAGTCTTTGAAAGTTATCTAAAATACTCAAATTTTGAGACCAGGGAGACTCAGTCTAAGTTGCTAAGCCTGGTCAGATTAATTACTATAAAAGTAAACCCAGAAATCAACCATTTTTTTAAAAAATAAATCAACTCCATTTAGAAAAGTTTTATTGGCACTCTCAACTACAAACCACTTTAGCTCTAAAGATGTTTACTGACAAATTACTTTCTATACCTAACTTTAAGCTTTTAAAAAGTTAAAAGACTCTATTATATTACAATTCAGTGTGATTTAGAAATCTGTGTTTCCTACTATAAATAATCAACATTTCTTTTTGGCAGGTTTGCTTTTCTTTTGGGTTGAATTTAAATTCCAACTATGTATCTCTTTATTATTATTTCATACTTGTTCATAGAAATCAGCCACAGAAGCACTTGCTATCCAGATGCTTAGAGAATGTGTACTGAGTACTCCTGGGCTTCCTAAATACTAGGTGCAGTGTTTGCTTATGCCTATGAGGGATAATGAATTTTTGGTTACTTTCAATTGCCTCATCATTGCCACTGTTAACTGGCCACATCAAATGCACATCCCCCATGGCTGCAGAATCCTGGAGAATATAACTTTCTTCCCACGTTCCATTAACTTGGGTAACTTCTTAGAACAGCTCCAGAGTTCAAATAAGCTTAAAATTCCTATCATCAAATGGGCTAAAACAATGGTTGAAAATGACACTGAAACAGTCTCCTGAGAATGCATCCTCAGCCTGGTGGTCTGATTTCTCTATGTCACCATTTTGATGGTCTCACGAGAATGCAGTTCTGGGTAACCACCGGGGCAGTTAACACTGTAAAGAAACTGTCATCATTTGTTCTGGGCCTCATCTGAGATCCGCACCAACTCAATTTCTCTTGGACATTTTCCTACTTTCAGATATGCCAATGGAAATAACTGGGGAGAATGAGGCCCAAACTGCCTCAATCTGCTGAATGGTTTTATGTATTACTTTTCCTTATCTCTTTGTGTATGTGCTCTTAAACATTTAACAGTAGCTGTCTCCTTGTAAAGCAGGTCTTCTATAAAACTACTGAGGCCGGGCACGGTGGCTCACGCCTGTAATCCCAGCACTTTGGGAGGCCGAGGCGGGCGGATCACGAGGTCAGGAGATCGAGACCATCCTGGCTAACACAATGAAACCCCATCTCTACAAAAAATATTAAAAATTAGCCAGGCGTGGTGGCGGGTGCCTGTAGTCCCAGCTACTCGGGAGGCTGAGGCAAGAGAATGGCATGAACCTGCGAGGCAGAGCTTGCAGTGAGCTGAGATGGCGCCACTGCACTCCAGCCTGGGCAACAGAGCTAGACTCCATCTCAAAAAAAAAAAAAAATTCACAATTTAAACTCTGAAAATTCAGTGCTGTATTAAGTATAAATTAATTAAATACATCACCAAAGGATTTAAAAATATATTACATTTTAAATGGCATAACTGGATGTTTGTTTACAAGCACCAAAGACATATCAAAAATACAGTTTACTGTTTAATGGCACCTAAAAGTGCCGTTTACGTTTATTAATGGGACCATTGACTTCCAATATCTAATTCAGGCACTGACATGTCAATAACAATATGTCCTAAATGTGGTTTGGGATAAGGATAGAAACTCCACTAAACATTATTTATAATGGCAGGGAGCTTAGGTGTAGACACACAGGTTGCAAACACAAAAGCAAGGTGAATAATACCTGCAAAAAGACGAGAGAAAAAAATCAATGCTCAAACACATGACAGTGCATGTTCCTCCACTCATGACTTTACATGGTATTGTTTGATGAAACATCTTATCCAAATTTTTGGCTTGTGCTACTAAAAATCTGATAAGAACAACTGAACAGATCTATTGTAGTGTATAATCAAGAAAAGTCCTCATATACACACAATTCTAAGATTCTAGGAGAAGTGAATGCAGTAATCATATACATATCTGGTTTTGGACATTCGATAAAGGGAAATTTTGGTGATGGACTGATAAGGGCCACCTGGAGAGGCAGCCAGGAAAATAGTGATCCAGTGATAAAACGGGAGAGAGTTGAATAATACAGAATATGAAAAATTTAAAAGAGATTAAAAAACAGGGAAGCAAAAAAAGAGTTTCTTTCTTGTGGCCAAAATACAAGGAAAATTTCAGTTTACATCAGCAATTTAAATATCAGAATAGTGCTCTTTGAATTTTCCAGCCTTTGATTGATGGCTCTTTATTGCTAATTTTATTCACACGTCTAATGTTTTACAGGTGAGCAGAGATGGGTCAAAGGAGGGGACTGACGAAATAAAGCAAAGGCAGGTGAAAATAGTACCATTTGGCAACTTGTGTTTAACAACAAAAAGCAAGAATTAAGTACAACCTGGGGAAAGTTTTTAAAAACTGCTTCCAAAATTTCAGAGTAAGATGAATAAGTAGACTAGTGGCCCATAGCTTAACTGCAGATTAGGTAGTTTGAATCAAATATGATAAAGAGAAGTAAGTATGTTCTTAGCTGCCATAAAGTACAGAAATTATTTTATACAAATGATTTTGCTTGTCTCCAACTACTTATAAGGGGAAATAATCATGTTAAAAATTAGTAACACTTTATACCATCATACTTAAATTTTTTAATGAATTTTCTTGTAACTACTGCTCTGTATCTGCTACACAAAGGTATGGGGGAACATCCACTGCACTAAAGTCAACACATCTACAAATTGCTTTGCTTCTTTGTGAATGAACCACGTACAAGATTCTAGATTCTTTTGTGTTTGTTAAAGTCAGCATGATATGCGCAATTGTCAGCCTGATATATGATATGGATACAATTAAAAACAATAAAAAACAGGCTGGAGGCTGGGCAGTCTGGTGTAATATTTTATTGCCCAAATTTTTTTTGTGCTTTGGTATTTTAGAGAGATGTTGTACCCTACAAAGCCCTTTGCTCAGTGAGACAATGGGATGTGAGCAAAAATAATAGCAACAGCAAACTGAACTCTGAAGGTTGGCTTCATTTTAACCCAACTTTATGGTATATTGGTATTTCAATAAAATAATTGCTGAGTATAGGTTTCCTCAACTGAATTTTGGAGTTGGGTTGCTATAATCAATTCCTCAAGAGGAGAAAAAAAATGTATTTATAGAGGTTTAATGCAGATTGTCACATGAACACAGAAATAGATCTTAGAGTTTTTCATTTTCCTTGAGCTACTATAACCAAGAAGAGAACATCTCCAGTGGCAAAAAAAAAAAAAAAAAGAAATGCAAATTCATCATAGGCATAGTAGTTTTATATACAAAACAAACTGATTTTAAGCAAGAACATCTGTGCAAACAAGATTGTGAAAGGTAATTTCAAGGCTACAAAGGAAGAGAAGTATGTTGATTGGATTTTAAAATAGACATATTAAATTTGCACACCTACTGAAATGTGAGGTGCATGACATAATTTAATAAGTTTTTTTGATGAAGATTTGCCAAACACCTAACTAGAAAAAAAAGGCTTTTTTTTTCCTTCTTTTCCAATTTTGATGTTAGGGAATATGTGACAAGTAAATAAATAAAAAGAAAATATGAAAATGCTAATTTTTCAGTTTAGACATTTGCTTGAGAACCCACTATATGCTAAGCATATAAGCAGAAGATGTATTTTACTATCACTTGATTCCTTTCTCTAGAAAAGTATAATAAAGAAACATATAAGTAATTCATGGCATTTGTTGGGGAGAGGAAGTTACGGGTTTTCTGAAAACACAGATTGGGGCAGGTAAATTATGCCTCCAAAATCTGGAAGGTTCCCCACTGTAAACACTTTATTTTGAAAGAGGAGTCAAGGCTATTCTATAAAGAAGATGCAGGTGGTTTCTAGGAGAAGTTCTGTATACAGAAACACAAAGGTATGAAACAGCAAAAATCTCTGTGAGAAACTGGAAGTGGCTGGTTATTCTGCTTTCTCTCAATATTCTTATTTCACATGGTACAGAGAATGCTCACAGTAAATGTAAAGGCTGAAAAATGTAGAAAATGGAGGGCCCAATTCAGGCAGCACAAACATCTAACAGGAATGCAGAAAAAATGCCAGTGAGGGCAACTGAGAAGAAATGGTCAGAGAAGTAGGAATACATAAGAGAATTGTACCCCAGTAAGTCAGAGTAGAATAAGATGCATAAAAAGATGAAGTGCTCTATAGGGTCACATACTGCCGAAGGATCAAATAGATAAGAATAGAAGATCATAGCTGAATGTAAAAGTCAGAGGCCAGTGCTGGCCTTTAAAAAGGAGTCTCAATGAAGTAAGTATTGGTGCACAAAGTTAGATGGTAGGATATTGAAGAATGAATGGAAGGTGAGAAACTGCAGACTTACATTTGGGAGATAATGGAATAGGTCAGGAGGGATTTGGGCATGTTAACATAATGTGGGGAACAGCCAGGGAGAGGAAAAAATATAAAACACAAGAGAAAGAGAGGGTGATTAATAGGACCAGTTCCTTGTAGACGCTAGAAGGGATAATAGAAAATGTTTAACTGGAAGGGTCAGCAATGTGATGGAAGAAGGGGAAACTTCTGGACTTAAGAAGCAAGAGGCAGATTGCAGATGGGATATGTCTGTTTAAGTTAGGGAAATACGTATTCCCAAACTTTAAATTCAATACATAAAAACATGGACAACAAACCAATCCCTTTCCTACCAAACCACAAATTGTGGGATTTTCATTTTTATTATTTTTTGTACACTTAACTGTTTGTTTGATTGAATAAGTAATGATGCTGTCAGCTAATGTGGACCTTGTAATTTTTCTTTTAAACAATAGTTTATTTTTAACTAGTCTTAAAAATGTTAATCTTTCTTTGGATAGTTTGTAGTTAGTTTTCTGCATTTGTTCTCAGATTCATATGTTCAAACATAAAAATAGCACAATAGTCCTGTCATGATGAAAAATAAAGATATGCATTAAATTTTACCTTTTTAGTATTAAAAATGGAGCCATGCTAAATCTTTCAGGACTTTATAACCTACATACACATTTTACTGGACATCCCCAATCCATCTGAGTATTCCTGGAGCAGCTCTGACTATAACTTTCATTCCTAGCAACTTCTCTGCTTGAAAATGATCAGATGAAAAGCTCATTAATGATGAAAATATAAACAAATTGGCATAATTCAACACATATCTTAAATGGGTTCATATTTAATGTATACCAATAACACAGCAAAACATAACTATTGAAGACTAGTGAAAATCAAGTGAATTTTCTTAAGTATTTACTAATTAAGATTTTAAGAAATAAATTCATTAAATTTTTGTTTAGTAAAGAAGCCTATTGTTTAGTAAATAAGGAATACTGTTAAACAGAAAAAGAGTAAATCTATTACAAAACTAGATGACATATCCTCCAGCAAGTCTCTTAATCTCTCCTATAGTGATATTTCCCATAGAGAATTTTAAGGTGGTAAAGGCATTCTTCTTAATAATTCATGCCACTTGCATCTCAAGCTTTTTGTTTTGGCAGCATAACCACTATGTAGAAGGTTGAATGAGCCATGTTTTAGTTACTCTGAACCAATAATTAGGCAACAGCCTATTTGGAAAACAAATTAATATATCTTCCAAATGCTACCAAGAAAAATCAGATCTGACTTTTCAAAATTTCTGTGACTCTTCAGGATAACTGGGCTCAAACAAAAACAAACAACAAACAAACAAACACAGCACCACTCAGTATCATCAGTGAGTTCTATTTTTAAGATATGTGATATTAAAAATAATTTAAACTATTTGGATCTCAATTCTCAATATGTACACTGAGGAATTGAATGAGATTATATTTGTCTCCATCCTGAACTCTAATAAATTGTTTGTGTGCAAAACATTTATAATTTATGTTGAAGTGAATTTTTCTAAAATGCAAGATAGAAGCACAATTCTAAGCAAGCAATTCTAATCAATGTGTCATCTACTTGTGCCCACTGTGGTCTGTTTTTTATACTTCTTTTCCAGAATTGTCAATAGACACAGGTCTTTATAAAAACTTTTGGGTTTGGATTAATTTTCCTGGAGTTCCTAATATTCTCAGAGTGCTGAAATACTTGTTAGCTGAATAAGGTTATTTATGCTAGCTCTATAAAGGCTTATGTGTTGGGGAGCTTTGCATCATTCACAGGAATGTTGTGTGAGTGGCCTGGTTAGTCAGGTGGGAAGGGACATGGAGCAAGTGAGGTTGGAGAAGTAAGTAAGGTACAGATTACCCATATGTGTGACCTACAATACTAGCAAAAATAAAAATCAATTTTGTAAATTTTTAGGAAAACTGACAGTATTTGCAATTCAGTATATTAATAGCATACTGAGTAATATATAATCCTCCTTTCCATAAAAAATGTAACTGAATGTTATGGTAAGTTTAAACAAATAAAAATAAAACAAGAAAATAAATGTTAGAAGGAAAATGTAATTTATTTATGATGGGAAGAAAGCAGATGAGATCATATTTATGAACAAACCAGGACAATAATTGGGTCGGGGGCACTATTAGGTTCATGAGAGAGCTATCCACAGAATAGTGGATATCCACAGATAGAGGCCATGAGGCCTCATTGTGCCCAGCTAAAGTCTTTAATAACTGATTTTGAAATAAAGTTAAGTAATAGCCTTAGGGAAGGTCCTGATGGAGTATTTGGTCTGAATAAAGAAGCCTGCTAGACCCTATCTTTTAACTTTCATTATGGATCCAATAAGGAAACACCAGAGATACCAACACCCAAGAGAGTAACACTTAAACACTCCACCTCCAGATAAAACAGGGTGATCTAAATATGGGTGGCAAATTGTTGACTATGACTTATAAAGAGAAACTTCTATAAGATTCATCAACTATAGACTGAATGTTTATTCAATCTCAAGTTCATATGTTGAAATTCTAACACCCAGTGTGTGATGGGGGTTAAAATTTTTATAAAAGAAGCTACAGAGAGCTCCCTTGCCTTCCGCCACGTGAGACTGTAATCAGAAGACAGCCATCTATCTATGGACCAGGAAATGTGTTCTCAGCAAACACCAAATTTTTTGGCACCTTGATCTTGGATTTCTGGCCTCCAGAACCGTGAGAAATAAATTTCTGTTATTTGTAAGTTACCAGTTTATGGTATTTAGTTACAGCAGCCTGAAAGAACTGAGACACTGTGTACTTGACAGAGCCCAAAACGAGTTCTCCCACAGAAGATAAAAGACTGAATTTTAAAATAAATAAGAAAAGTAATTTTAAAAACCAATAAACAAAAGATCTTGTATATTAATTATTTAAACTAATTCAAAGAACTTTGGATGAAATAAACTGCTATGACTACACCATTATTTGAGGGGAACAAAAGCAAGAAAGAGAAGACCAACTGAATAAAGAGAACAACTAACACCAGAAAAAAAAAATAAAAGTTAACATAAAGAGCAGAAAAAAATTAAAACACAATTCTAATAAGTATCTTTAGTGATATTTAAGAGAATATTACTCTCACAAAACAAGAAATTCAATAGAAAACATTAAAGGAATCAGAGAACATGTAAAATTTCTCAGAAATTAGCAAACTAATATTGAAATAAAAATAAAGTGGCTGACTGATAAAGTAAGGTGAATAACAAATTAATAAACCAAAAAATAGAGAAGTAAATTGTTGCTACCAGATCACAGTGAGAAAGAGATGGAAAATATGACCAAAATATAAAAAGAAACTTAGGGTAGAATTAGAAAGTTTGAAATCCAAAATATACTAATAGTGTATATTAAATTAAAATGGAGGAAAAATGGGTAGTGATTATAGTATTATTATAAAAAATTTCTTAAGCAAAAGGCATAGATATACAGATTGATAAAATCACTATGTGCCAAGCATGGTGAGCAGAAACAATATACACATTGATATATCCTGACAAAAAAAGATCCTTAATTTGGCATGTTGGTGGTCATTTATTAGCCCTAAAATACGTTATATCCAAGTACAACGAAGAAATTCCAAAAGCTTTAAGATAATCAAAATGAGGTTCATACCAAGTCTTTTGTTGGTGATTGTGATTGCTAGTTGACAATGAAGCAAAACATTAAATTTCTATGAAAAAATCCCTACAGCTAGAACTTTATTGCCAACTCTGTCAGGCCATCAAATGGGTCCTCTTAGATTCCTTACACCCATGTGTAACCATCACAGTAATCTCAGCCTGAAATAGATCAGCCAGGCACACCTCAAGCTGGAGGCTGCTCACCAATTCCAGACTGGAATAAAAGAAAGAGGTCTGCTTTCCTCAATTGCTTCCTAGAACAGGTGATGGAATCTAAAAGTGCAGATGAGTTATCTTCCCTCAGGACAAACTTTGACTAAGGGAAGAAATGAGACAAGAGGAAGAGCCTAATAATAAACTTGCCCCCACCTCTTTCTTCTGATGGCCTGTTTTGAGTCACAGTTTGATGTACTCTCAAAGACAGCATCTGTGTATCTTTGCTGCTAGTTACGATGCCTATGAATTTGCTTTTTATTCCTTCTTGCTGTCTGGGATTGCATTTGCATGTAAGTCTTGGCTCATGCTCTATTTTTTCTGGGAAACCTGATCCAAGACACCAGCCTATTTATCAAGTGTGACATCAAATAATTTTATGTAAGAAAGCACCTAGAGTTTTATGTTTTGCCTTTGATTTTTTTAAAGAGTGCTTTTGAGGAGAAACTATATCAAAGTACCAACAGCAACAACAAAAATTAAAGAAAAAAAAGACATTCTGTTTGGAAAATAGTGAAAATAACTCTTAAGTGCAAAGAAAGGAAATGCCAGTTAGCCAATTGTTTTACATACATAGAGCACATTTGATATTAAGTATAATAGGAAGTCAGAAAAGCCCATGAAAAATATCTTCAAGAAGAAAATATTTTTAATTATATAAACAGTATTCTAATCTGGAATATTTTAGTAAATAAAAGAAAGGTAGTTTATAACTTAGAGATTAATAAAAATCTGTACATGACTCCAACGTTTTAGAACACATAAAAGGCATGATTTTGATTAATGTGTGGAGTATATTTTAAAATAATAGATTGAAACGTGATGTTTAATGATTATGTTCAGGTATCATAGTTTTAGGGGCATGTATTACATTTGCATTATTTCGTGTCAAAATACTAGTTGAGGTAGTATGTATGATAATATACTACATTCTGTTTACTATATATTACTTCAGAAAGAACCAGTAGAAAAATCAAAGAATAATAATGGTGGTTTGTAGAAAAGAAATAATCTCTTATGGGTCTTTGTAGTCAGAATTAAAAAAACAGAAATCAAATATGAAAAGCTCTGAGATGTTAAAAATATTTTATAGTAACTGAGGTCAGAAAATACAGAGAGAAAACAAATTAGAGGGAGGTGCAGGCACACCAATTTTCTCATCACATAGCAGAGCCTCTACACAGAGAGTAACAAGTTAACGTAACTAAAACTAAACTCACGAATCAATAAATCAAAGTATTATCCTATTATTGACAGGTTTAGAAATGATAACTAAAAGAATTTAAAATAATAATGTAAAAATCAGGAGGTGCATCTGCATATGGAACATATTCTAATATGGACCACATTCTTGACCATAAAGCAAATCTCAATAAATCTCAAAATTTGAAATCATACTGATATGGTTTGGATTTGTGTCCCTGCCCAAATCTAATGTCAAACTGTAATTCCCAGTGTTGGAGGAGAGGCCTGGTGGGAGATGATTGGATTATGGGGGCAGATATCCGCTTCCCCTTACTGTTCTCATGATAGTGAGTGAGTTCTGACAAGATCTGGTTGTTTAAAAGTGTGTAGCATCCCCACCTTTCAGCTCTTCTTCCTTTCCCAGCCTTGTAGGACATGCTTCCTTCCTCTTCGCCTTCTCTCATGAGGGTAAGTTTTCATGAGTCCTCCCCAGCCATGCTTCCTGTACAGCCTGTGGAACTATAAGCCAATTAAACTTCTTTTCTTTATAAATTACCCAGTCTCAGGTGGCTATTTATAGCAATTCGAGAAGAGACTAATACTCATACCAATTATACATTCAGACCACAGTTGAACAAAAATACAAACCAGTACCAAGAGGATCCCTCAAAACCACACAATTACATGGAAATCAGAAAACTTGCCCCTGAATGATTTTCTGGTAAATAATGAAATTAAGACATAAATTTTAAAAATATTTGAGATAAATGAAAACAGAGACACAACATACTAAAATGTCTAGGATACAGCTAAAGCACTGTTAAGAGGAAATTTTATAGCACTAAACACCTACACCAAGAAGTTAGAAAGATCTCAAATTAACAATCTAGCATTGCACCTGGAGGAACTAGAAAAACAAGAACAAATTAAACCCACAGCTAGACAAAGAAAAGAAATAATGAAAATCAGATTATAACTGAATGAAATTGAGATCCAAAAATCCATAAAACTATGAACAAAACCTGACCTGGTTCTTTGAAAGGACAAACAAGATTGATTAGCAAAGAAAATAAAAAAGAGCCAAATAAGCACAATCAGAAATGACAAAGGTTACATTACAGCAAATCCCTCAGAAATACAAAAAAAAAAAAAAACCCTAAGACTATTTTGAACACCTGTATTCACAAAATATAGAAAATCAAGATGAAATGGTTACATTTTTAGAAACACACAACCTCCCAAAACTGAGTCAGAAAGATATCAAAACACTGAATAGACAAATATCGAGTTCTGAAATTGAATCAGTAATAAAAATCCTACCAACCAGAAAGAGCCCTGGACTAGATGGATTCATAGCTGAATTCTACCAAATGTACAAAGAAGAACTGGCACCAATGTACTGAAACTATTCAAAAAAACTGAGGAGGAATGACTCCTCTCTAACTCATTCTATGGAGCTAGAATCACACTGATACCAAAATCTGGCAAAGGCACAACAAAAACAAAAAAACACTACAGGCCAATATCCCTGATGAGCACAGACCCAAATATCCTCAACAAAATACTAACAAACTGAATCCAGCAGCACATCTAAAAGTTAATTCACCACAATTAAGTAGGCTTTATTCTTGGAATGCAGGGCTGGTTCAACAAACACAAGCCAATAAATTTGATTCACCACATAAACGGAATTAAAAACAAAAACCATATGATTATCTCAATAGATGCAGAAAAAGCTTTTGATAAAATTCAACATCCTTTCATGATTAAAAATAAAACCCTCAACTAACCTAGGCACTGAAGAACATACCTCAAAATAATAAGAACCATCTATGACAAACCCACAGCCAACATCATATTGAATGGGCAAAAGCTGGAAGCATTCTACTTAAGAACTAAAGCAAGACAAGCATGCCCACTCTTACTACTTCTATTCAACTTAGTTTCGGAACTCTTAGCCAGAGCAATCAAGCAAGAGAAAGAAATAAAAGGCATTCAAATAGGAAAAGAAAAAGTCTAATTATCTCTTTATTAATGATATGATTCTGTACCTAAAAAACCCTAAAGACTCTGCCAAAAGCCTCTTAGAACTGATAAAAAAACTTCAGTAAAGTTTCAGGATACAAAATCTATGTACAAAAATCAGTTGTATTTCTAGGCACCAATAATGTTCAAGCTGAGAGCCAAATGAAGAACACAATCCCATTTACAGTATCTGCACACATACCCACATGCACACAAAAATCCTAGTAATTCATCTAACCAAGGAGGTGCAAGATCTCTACAAGGAGAGCTACAAAACACTGCTGAAAGAAATCATAGATGATACAATGGGAAAAAATATCCCATGCTCATGGATCAAAAGAATCAATATTGTTAATATGGCCATACTGCCCAAAGCAATGTACAGATTCAGCACTATTCTCATCAAACTACCAATGTCGTTTCTCACAGAATCAGTAAACATGATTCTAAAATTCACAAGGAACCAGAAATAAGCCAAATAGCCAAAGCAATCCTAAGCAAAAAGAACAAAGATGGAGACATTTCCTGACTTCAAACTATTCTATAATGCTACAGTAACCAAAACAGCATGGTACTGGTACAAAAATTAGACACATAGATCAATGGAGCAAGAGAGAAAACTAGAAACAAAACTGCATATCCACAAACATCTGATCTTCAACAAAGTCTACAATAACAAGCAATGAAGAAAGGACTCTCTAGTCAATAAATGGTGCTGGGAAAATGATCTAGCCATATGCAGAAAAAGATAACTCAACCCCTACTCTTACTACTTTTAACTATAAAAAATTAACTCAAAATGGATTAAATATCTAAATGTAAAACCTCAAACTATAAAAACCCTAGAGAAAAAAACCTGAAAAACACCATTATGGACATAGGCTTTGGCAAATAATTTATGACTAGGCCCTGAAAAGCAATTGCAACACAAACAAAAATGGCCAAGTGGTACCTAATTATACTAAAAAGTTTCTGCACAGCAAAAGAAACTATCAACAGAATAAACAGACAATCTACAAAATAGGAAAAATATTCACAAACTATGTATTCAACAGGGGGTTAATATCCATAATCAATAAGGAAATTAAACAATTCATCAAGCAAAAACCAATAACCCTATTAAAAATGGGCAAAGAACAGGAACAGACACTTCTCTAAAGATGACATACAAGTTGCCAACAAACAAACGAAAAAATGCTCAACATTATTCACCATAGAGAAACCCAAATCAAAGCCACAATAAGATAACACCTCACACCAGTGAAAATGGCTATTAATTAAGACGTCTAAAAATTACAGATGTTGGGAAGGTTATAGAGAAAAAGCTGCTTATACACTGTTGGTGAAAATGTAAATTAGTTCAGCCATTATGGGAAGCAGTCTGGAGAATTCTCAAATAACTTAAAACAGAACTACCATTTGGTCCAACAATACCATTCCTGGATATATATCCAAGGGAAAATAAATCATTCTCCCAAAAAGACACATGCACTCTTATGTTTATCACAGCACTTTTCATAAATAGCAAAGACATAGAATCAAACTAGACGTCCATCAGTGGGGGGTTAGGTAAAGAAAATGTGGTACATTTACACCATGGAATACTACACAGCCATAAAGAAGAATGTCTTTACACCTTTGTAATATTTCATGGTGTAATGATTGTGTAGTATTCCATGTCCTTTGAAGAAACGTGGATGCAGCTGGACGCCATTATCCTAAGTGATTTAACACAGGAACAGAGTGTCAAATACCCTATGCTCTCACTGATAAGTGAAAGTTAAATATTGAGTATGCATGGACATAAAGGTGGAAACAATACAGAATGGGGACTACTAGAGAGGGGAGGGTGGGAGGGAGACAAGGGTAAAAAACTGCTCGTCAGGTACTATGCTTATTACCTGGTGACAGGATCATTTATACACCAAACCTCGGTGACACAATTTACCCAGGTTGCAATCCTGCATATATACCTCCTGCATCTAAAATAAAATTTAATGAGTGAAACAGGTTTCAAAATCACAATAGCAACTAAAATATCAGAAGTTGGATGTGGGAAAAAATTAGTAAGTAGTATAATTTTGCCAACTACCTTATTTTTAAAAATGAGAGTTAAAGTAGACTTCTGAAAGTAAGTTGATAAACAGACATATAAATTTTTATTTGTATTTATGGTTAAAATGTGATAATAAAACTAAAATTGCTTAAAAACAATTATTCCTGAAGTACAAGGCTGGGCAAAAGAGGAAGGATATTTAAGATTTTCTTTAAATATTATTTAGTGTTGTTTGAGTTATGACTTTCCTAAATAAAATGACTTTTTTTTCTGAACTAAGAAGAAATATTTGCCATCTTGGTCATCTGGTGAATGTATTGGGGAAAAGGGTTTAATAGAAAGAGACAAAGTTTGATGGCATTTTGATAATTAAGGTGAGAGATGCTAAGAGTCTGAAATTTAAAAAGTAGCAGTTTGTTCATGTATAGATGAAAAGTTTTATAGATATGAAATGAGAACATATTTGATAATCAGAGGTTTGAAATACAAACTAAGAATCCAAAGATACTTTTTCATTTTCTACCATGACAGGCTTGAAGGTCTCTGTGCCATCATCCTAGATAAATAAGGGATTCACCAGGAAGAATATATATTGATGTATTGATGGTGGTTATGAGGGAGGCAAAGCAAATAGTTCCATTTTATCTTAGCTAGTTTCGACCTTGAAACTAGAAATATCTCTGAGCATTTAAGCAATGAAGCAATGGAATGTATGATTCTGGAGTTCAGATCTTATTTTAAGATTTACCTTTGATGGCCATAAAATATTTGTGGATATTAAAAACTAAACTAATGAAGGAAATCACTTTTAGTGACAACGTGATGTATTTAAGAAGAGTTAAGTACAGAGCACTGAGTGACACCTACTTTTGAATAGATGGGCATAAAAGAGTTATCCTAAGTGGTAATACACTTTGAAGCAGTGATCACAGAAGAAACCAGGAAGTCACTCCTGGTTTCAAAACTTGGAGGGGAAAAAAGACTGTTGAATAGGAAAGAATGCAGTCACATGAGACTAACAGAAAGAGTGAGAGATATCCAATGTTTTTGGCTTGTTATTGATTGATTATATGGAGTGTCATTGGAATGAACAGACATTCACTGGTGCCAGAAAAACGTGTGTTGACAAAGTAAATAGGAAGAACATAAAGGGCTTGATTTTGAAAATTATAAAACATAGAAACAATAGAAATGATTATCTATTTATATGCTGAAGAAAAGAAAGCTAATGCTAATTGAGGACAGGAATTGAAATTACCTAAGTGAAAATGTGGTGAAATTAAGCCTATAGGAGACCAGGAAGGTAACATTTGACCCACATGTCCAAGAATCACCTTGACTAATAGGACATGTCTTTTTCTCTGAGACTCGTAGGAAAGAAGTATGGATATTATTGAGGGGATAATACTTTGTTGTTTTGCATTTGAAATAATGTATCTCTAATATCTTACATTTTCTTAATTCTACTGGAGACAATAGCAAGTGCTAAGTCATACGAAACAAGATTTGGAATAGCAATGATTGAATAATTTGGTTACAGATATGTCAAACGTTTAGGATAGTTTCTCTGGGGAATGGAAGTGAAACTACCTAGTATTAGGTTTGAGGAATTCTGAGCTAATAATCCAGTTGCGATTATGGATAACATATTGTTAGTGACAACTTGACAGATATGAAAGTTTGTACTGTAGTGTGCTACAGTTCAGCTGTTGAAGTGGGAAAAATGGGATTGTTCTAGAGCCTGCTTTTGCAGGACCAATGTGGTGAGAAGAAGGCAAGGATTTAAGGATACTGAGAGGAAAATGTATGTGAATGTCTTGCAGGTTGTAGTTTGAAGATGGATGGAAGCCAAATGAGAAATGTTGATGGTTTGAGAGAAAATAAAGAGTTGAAACACTGACCATTTTCTACAGGTGGAAGAGATGCTCTGATAGTAAGGAATTAAAGATAAAAGATTCTGGTGAAGGAATAAAATAAATAGCATTTATTATTCCAGACCAAGAATGTTTCCTGATGTTCATTATATTGATGAAATAAATGGTCATCAGAATGGGTAACAGCAGTTGAGTGAAGATTAACTGTGTTAGTGTTTCAAAATGAATAAATTTTGAGATGGCTGTATTGGATGGGTTTTCTACCAAGATGTTGAAAGCTCCTAAGATTTAAGTAAAATGATATATGGAAACTTTCTTGACACACAATTGGTATTCAGCAAATACTCCTTTGAGTGTGATAAAATGACTTTCAAGTATTAAATTGTCACAAATAGTAAATGTTGTAGAAATGTACATTAGTCTTCTGCTGGTATCTTAGTATCAGTTAAGAAGAAACCTACAATTCAGGGAAAACATCTGTATCTACCCTCTCAAAATGGAGTGGAAAGAAAAAAATACTCAAAAATTTAGGTGAAGGCATGAACATTTTGCCTACAGTAATTAATTTATGCAAAGAGTCTACAAGCTACTGTTTCCCAGATTTCCCACCATTTTTTTTTACCTGATTTTAATCTTGTAGAAGTAACTTTAATTCAATTTTTAATTTTAGCCTGAAATTAGTGAATTTTGGTTGAAGTTGCATTTGTTTTACTGTGCTTATACTGTGTCTTTTCCATAAAATTAGAATATGTTTTGCCACTTGTTTCACCCAGACATATTGAAGGAAGATTTATAAAACACTAAAAACATTATAAAGATTTTTATAAATTCAAATGAAACTCCATGTGCATCTTTTTTGTGAATATGTTCTTTATATTTTACATATTTTCCAATGTCTCTTACTTCTACTTTTCAATCACAAATATGTTGATCATTAAAATGTATAATGCATTCTAATGATCATACTTTGGGTTTTTCAAGCCAGAAGAACAGAATAAAAGCTATATTGCAAATGACTACATGTACTGCTATGAAAGTTGAGTATTTTTTTTTATTCAAGCTTGTAATTATTTGACTTTGACCATTTAAATCACTATTGAGAAAATGGGGTGGAAGATTAAAAATTATCTGATACATTTATACTGCTTAAACAACAAACAATTCATATCACTCAGAAGAAAATTACACCTGTCTTCTTAATAGCCGCCTGGGTCCATGAATTATTCAGATGACAGGCCAGATGCTGTCACTTAATGGACACAGCCTATACTGGTAGTTTTTCAGATAGAGCCGTAGGGAGTAAGGGTTCATATTCAATGAGGATACCATTATTAAAGTACCATTTACCCCTCAACTTCTTTCACTCCCTTACTCCCACTTTGACACATAAATTCATTGTACCTTTCTTTATCTGTTGGACTGTGAGAATTTTAGTCCCAAGGACAATTTTTCAAATGTTATCAGTGATTGAAAACAAGTGGTTATAATGAAAGTAGATTTGCAATCTTCAGTCTAGCATTTACAGTTTTGAATGCTATAATTACGAAACCACCTGTGTGTGTGCTTTCACAATATATTACGACCGAAGATTGCATTCCAAGTAAAGATTATTCCCCAGGATAAGGGTTTAAAACATGATTTTTCTCCTTTTTCTCTTCACTATATTCCAAATCAGAGTTTGGCCCAAAATAAGCCAACGAGGACTTTAGAAGAAATCTCCATTCACTGAAAGTAGTCCATTAGCATTTCTGTTGCTACTGATGTGTTGCTCCATAACTTTGCCCACTGATAAAAAATGCTTACTGTGGAGTAGATAGGGGATATGGTAGTGAGGTAAGGGTCTCAACACACATTCAAAAAGCAAGCATGGTGTGCATGCTTCTATACAGGAGTAGCTGTGATATTAGGCCCTTTACCCACCAGACACTTTAAAACATGACCTTTTTCATCATCCTATTCCAAATGTTTACTCTAGTAACCAGCACTGTCAAATGCAAAGTGTAGTGGGACTAACGTTGGTGTTGTTAGAGAACTATCATTTCACATACATGTCATGTCCTCATGGAGAGTGGTTGGGTGAGTGTTTGACCTCTTTCTCATTGAACTACCATAGGCAATGATCATTTAAATTGTCTTTTTATTCACTAATGTGTTTAAAAGGGGAATCCAAAGACAGAGATAACAGTGAAACTCTCTGGTATAGAGTGGATTAACTTTCAGCAGTTTTTTTATATTCCATGTGCTCAAATGCTGGTAAACCAGGTTTTTTTTTTTTTTTTTGGTGCCCACTTATTAAGTATTTTTTTAATTATCCGGAGCAAACTGAGGAGACAAATAATTTAAAAGAGAGAGAGAGAGAAAGAAAGGAAACTATATATTATACTGCATAGCCTTTCTGTGTGGTAGATTTTTGTGACACAGATTCAGAATATTCACTTTTAAAGTTCATGTTATTTTGTCTACGATATTTTTACCTTGAGAATTTTCCAGTTTAGTTAAATATGTAAATCCAATCCCTGCCTTTCTGCATGTGTTTTTTGTGTGCTGTTTGCTATCTCTTGCACTAATACACATTTAAATTGCTTCCAAACTCATGTTAATAAACACACAAATCATGTGGTAGAATTGAAAAAAACTCCAAAACTGAAGAAAGTAAACTTGTGCTAGAATTTCATTCCCACAATTGAGAAAACCCACCTTTTCTCTTGTTCTACCATGAACACTCTCTCCAGATTGTCCCAAGCACTCTGTCTTCTCCTTTCTCCTAGTTTTCCTCATAAGTTGTGCAAACCCAGCATCCTGAGTATCCCCGGGTAGGCTGTGCCATCTGGTGTCATTAAGAACAAGGAAGCACTGTTCATCCGGGAGAGCAATCAGACATTTTATGCTGCTGCAGCTGTCATCCCAGCATTGTGGCTTCCTGCCATCATGGCTGCAGGGGATAACTTTGGCTCTAGGAGGACTGGTATCCCTGGAAGAGGATGACATCTCACACACAGGGCCCCCCCTACTCCCCACCCCTTGCTTTGGACAGCTGGTTCCAACACTTGGCAGATGGATACAGATCACAATGAAGTCGAGGCAACCAACACAATTTCTCAGTTTGAGGATTCTGGTTCCTTAAATTTTGGAAACCTCACCAAAACTGATTTGATCTTCTTGTTCCCAATATAGCTTAGCCATTGACAAATTATACAGATCTTAAGGTCCACTGCATGTCAAAACTTTAGTTCTCTATCATCTCCGCAGGCTCAGGGACTCCTAAGTTGGCTTGAGCTTTGAGGTGTCCTTGCCGTCCAACTGTACATGGCAGGCTTAGGGACTTGATTTCCTTAATTCCAGGGTTTCCTCAAAGGTGCAGAATTAAGGAGAGAGAGCAGTTATGGAAGTGATGCTTAGGGAGAAAATCTTAAAACTCCTACCACCTGGGCAGCCAGAGACACATCTGGGTTCCAAAAGTGCAAGGTGGGAACTTCCACAATGGGAATTCTTTCCAACAGATAACACAATGTTTAGAATATGTGATTGTTTCTTTGCCAAAACATTTTTTAAGCAATTAGGACTTATAGAGCTTTCTGCTTATTATCAAATAAGAGATTCAAGCCTCTTCTTTGTGACAGCACTTTAAAAATAAGATACAAAGGCTGAATATCCCCACAGTCTTAGAGTCCCTATGGAGTAATGGTACTTATTCAAAGGCTCTCAAGCCCCTTGTGGCTCTTGCATAAGCTCTTCGAGTACTCTTATTTTCATACAAGAATACTGTATTATTCTAGACTCCACAGGGATGACGTAATCTAGTGGCTCCAGGGGAAGCAGTGATTGCAAATGAGGCCAGAGTTAGATGACACAGAGACACTGCATATTAGATCAGGAGGCTGTCCCAATTCCAGAATTAGAGACTACTGCTAAGAAGAAATGAGAAATACACATCTGTGCATGGGCAGCTGTTTGTATACAGTGCTGTTATATTTTGTGAATATCAGTTGTTTTACTAGATGTTTCTCTACAGTTGATAGTTATGTAACTTGAATAATATAAAACCTGTATAATTACTTTATCTGTTAGACAAATATGTAGATTTTGTTGATTAGATATATTATAAAGTAGGTAATCTTTCACTTTGGAAGCCATTTAAATAAAACTCAGTTCATGTGATCAAGTAAGGCCACTGGCTTTTTTCTTTTTTTTTTTCTTTTTAAGTTGTGAAGCAAGTAAGAAGAGAAGATAATTTGTTCTGCAGGTCTAATTGCTGGCTATGTGATTTAGGAAAGAAGGATAATTTATCTTAAGATGACAGATTAAGTAATTGAAAACAAATTTAAATTCATTACACTAAAACAGGAAACTTATAGCAAAAAAATCAGAAATGAAAGCATTTTGAAATTCCTAATGGTTTTGAGAAATCTCAAGCTACACTGCATAGACTGTGGTTCTCTGTAGATGATGGCTGTTGTACTGCTCAGTATCTTTTACCTTTATTCTTTTTTATCTTTCTTTTTAAATTTCAGCCTAAAAAGAGGCTTTTCAACTAGAACAAGTTACATCCGCATGAAAGTACTCTTGAATCAAAATGTCCACAATTTACTTCCAGAGAATTTGAACCTCATCATTTATATGTTCAAGTTTTCTGTTCTTTGTTACAGAAAAAACAGTTAGCTATGGATGCAAACAACACTTTTACATTAAATCAAAAGACTTCTTTTTCCCCATCTTTTATTTGCACCCCTCACTTGGTCCTCAAAAATGACCTTTCTCTGCTAGTCTACCTTCAAGACTGATAGGTTGGATATTTCCTGCTAGCAAATTTTTTGGAAAACACAAACTTTTTATTTATGAAAAACTGTTTATATTTTATTCCTTCCAATTTTTATTCAGAAGAAGGTACAGCAAGGAATCAATTTGACTATTTAATAGTTAAGTCATGAATGATTGGTTGGTTAAAAGATTTGCTAAGAGGAGACTGGTGTTTATTTGGATTGGAAAATAAAAAATTTTCAAGCAATAGAAATCCAGTAAGAATGAATTAAGCAAAACAAGTGAATAAAATTTAAATGATGCAATTTTAAAAAATTTATGAGGTTACAGGTGTGTCTCATGGAACTTAAGTACAGAAATGTAACCTAGATTCTTAGCCGCAATAGGAGAATATCATCAAGATGAAAGATAACATTTATTCTTTATTTTTCATCTTTCTCTCTTTATTCTCTTTCTATAAGATTCCTCTGCTTTTCATTCTACATGACAAGCAAACGATAATCACTTCACAGTTTTTAATTTAACTCTTCTTTCAAGAAGCCAGTCTAGAATAAACTAGAATGCCTTAGCACAGTTTAAAATTGCCAGATGATGAAATCTAACTGGGTTGTTTGGATCAGGGATCCAACTCTGGTCTCTTCATCAGTGGCTGAGTGCAGGGAATATTCATAGTAGGCAAACATACCTGTGCTCTAGACAGCCCAAAGAAACTAGGCCAACCCTGCCCACTCCCCAAGTTTCCTATTACTTAAAATCCAAATACTACTAGACATAATTTGTTTGTACAGCTAGAAGGGTGGCTAATTCACGCTCAGATTCAAATCCATGTGCAAGGTATCCTTGAAAACACTAATATTAACTTGGCTTTCTCCATTCAATCTAAATATAATGAAATGTAAACTCCAGAGAGATAGGAGTTAGTGTTCGGGTTAGTGTCTTATCTTTTCTGAAGGACATAGACCCACAAAAGGGAACTTTATATCACTAACCATTTCATGTATTGTGTCTGGAATTGGTTCCTTCTGGTGGGTTCTTGGTCTCACTGACTTCAAGAATGAAGCCACAGACCCTCACAGTGAATGTTACAGTTCTTAAAGATGGTGCGTCTGGAGTTTTTCCCTTCTGGTGGGTTCATGGCCTAGCTTGACTTCAGAAGTGAAGCCACAGACCTTCGCAGTGAGTATTACAGCTTATAAAGGTAGTGCGGCCCCAAACAGTGAGCAGCAGCAAGATTTACTGTGAAGAGCGAAAGAACAAACCTTCTACAGCATTGAAGGAGACACCAACAGGTTGCCACTGTTGGCTCTCGTGGCCAGCTTTTATTCCCTTATTTGGCCCCACCCACATACTGCTGATTGGTCCATTTTCCAGAGTGCTGATTGGTCCGTTTTTACAGAGTGCTGATTGGTGCATTTATAAACCTTTAGCTAGATACAGAGCACTGATTGGTGCGTTTTTACAGAGTGCTGATTGGTGTGTTTACAAACCTTTAGCTAGACACAGAGCACTGATTGGTGTGTTTTTACAGAGTGCTGATTGGTGTCTTTACAAACCTTTAGCTAGAACTGGTGTGTTTACAGTCCTTTAGCTAGACAGAAAAGTTCTCCAAGTCCCCACCCCACTCAGAGACCCAGCCAGCTTCACCTCTCAGTTTCATTACAGAAAATCAAGATACAGTCTCAATTTAAATTTAATTTAGCTTTAATTAAGATATACATTTTTTCTTCCAGTGTAGTACCTATTGGATTACTGACAAAAATGTATGTGGAAATCCCTAATAATAGTTCCTATAGTAGTTCATTCTGTGAAATTCGAACAAATTTTGCTTTAAAACTCCTTTATAAACTCTTTATTCTCTTGACAATAATGTATTCATCCTCTAATATGTGCTAGGCATAGTTTTTGTGACTTTTTTCAGAAATGTTTAAAACAAAGCCCAATCCACATGAAGTTTACCTTGAAGTGGGGGGTGATGGACCAGAGAAATATAAACTTGTAAATAAACAGAGTTCATTAAGTGATGATAAATCACTTCACTGCGTCGAGGCCTAAAGCAAGTTAGAGATTTGGAGCAACAACATGGGTGAGGTGTTATTGGTATAAGTGGGTCAGGAACCACCTGTCTGTAGAGGGAGGAGACCTCTGAGCACAGAGCTGGAGCAAGCTGGGAATAGAGTCAAGGGATCTCAGGTAACAGCATGGACAAAGGCCCTGCAGCAGGACAGTATTTGTTGTTGAGGGGAACTGAGACCAGTGTGTGTGGGAGTAGACTGAGTGAAAGGAGAAGAGAGTGGTGGGAGATGAATGTTGAGAGTGGTAATAGGAAGGGAAGGGGCTTAAAAAACTATAGTATGTGGAAAATACTTTGGAATTAATGAAGTGTGTGGAAAAAAACAGAGGATTTTGAGCAGCGAAGTGATAGAATTTAACTACTGTTTGACTAACAGCCTTTAGTGGAGTTAAGTTAATGATGCCAGTTAGGTCTTTGAACTACTGAGAAAGTGCAGGTTAGAGATGATGATGGTTTGGAGTAAGCAGGAAGTAGTGAAGATTGCAAGGAGTTTTTAAGTTCTGTATAAAAATGTACCTGATAAAAGTGGTTGTAGGATCTCCCCAGGTTCCCCCACCATCTTGTGTCCTGACCGAAAATCGCAAATCACTCAGTGCCTTGAGTGCTCTGTGACCCAGCCAGGTGCAAGTTTTCCCGGCAGGCTTGAAAATTCCGAGGCACTGATAAAGGCATTTAGATTGTTGCCTGAAACAGTGAAAGAAACTGGTCTAGGCCGTGAGCCAAATTCATTCAACTCTCATCAAAACTCCGTACTCTGATTTCCTTGCCATGGACGTATCGGAGTAGACATAAATCCCTTTTTCCTTGCCGTCTGTAGTGAGGAATGCTGCAGTACTCTGTAAGTGTCCTTAATAAATGCTTTGGTCTAATCGCCTGGTGCTTAGCAATCTTTCTTTGGAATTCTAATCAGGCCCATCTCAGGATGGTTTGGGGCACTCCCTTGTGGGAACTCCCCTGCTGCTGACTTTAGGTGACTCCAGCCACTGCAGGTTCAGCAGGATGAAATAGTGTTGCAGGGTGTGAGGGAAACAACGTGCATAAGGATGTAACCAGGAATTTTAGCTTCAGCAACTAGTAGAAAAGAAATTGTATTTACTGAGATGAAAGAAAATGAGTACAGAACAGGTTTTGAAGAAAGTGGAGAAACGTGTTGGGTTATAGCTGGCACTTCGATTTGTAAGCAAGTACATACATCCCTATTAACAATATTACAGTGAATAATCTATATTTGCAATGAACATTTGTAGAAAACAATAGGATTTAAATGCTGTAAGTGGCAATTAACATTAATAGCTATTGGAAAAATACATTAGGAAACTTTTATTTTTTAAGATTTAAAATGCTATTTGTAATGCCACTGCTTAAAATGAAGTGTCCTGATGCAGAAAGTGAATACTTTTTTTTTTTTCACATTCAGGAATCTAAGAAAATGTAAGCTTTAACAAAGTTTTTTGTGTTATTTTTTCTTCTGAACTCTATAAATAAATTCAGATTTGTTTTTTCTTTTCATCAGGACACCTGCATTTTAATTACGCCTTCTTGGTATAAAAGATTTCTCCTTCGGAGTGAATGCAGCTTTCCTTTTATCTTTTCTCTCAATGCCCCAGACTCTAAAGTGGTTTAGGGACCAGGTAGGTAACACAAGAGAGAGTAGTGGGATGTCTAGTAAACTGTGGACAGATAAAATTTGTGGCTGTGAGTCAGTTTTGGTCAATTGTTGCCATTTACAGAATAGGGACACATATTGTAGCCAGGCCCTCTAATTTTATAAAAGAAAATAAATCTATATATTAAAATCTATATCGATTTTATAAGAATCTTTATAAAATTTATATTTTAAAATCTATATATAAATATATGTAGATTTTATATAAAACAGATTTAATAAAACATCTGTATTTTAACATCTATATATTAAAATCTATGTAGAATTTATATAGAGATTTTAATATATAGGTTTATTATGCATATATAAATGTCTCAATATTTAAAAGTTAGCACCGTTTTAAAAACATTGTAAGACCAAAACAAAACATGCTAAATTCAGTCTCTGATAAGTCAATTAGTAATACCTGTTGTAATTTGGTACCTGCATTTACTCCTAGCCCCTCACAGAATATTGATTCCCTCAGTACTGCTATCAATATTCATTGTACATTACCAAAAAAAAAAAACCCTTAATGATTAAATGTATTCTCATTAATAGGTGAATGGTTTATTCTAGATGGGGATCTGTACCTAAAACCTTAGAGTTATGATGACAGAGTCCAATGCATAACCCAAATTGTTAACATTCCTTTAGCAATTTTATGTGTCAGACACCACTATACAAAGAGACTTATTACATCATATCTTAATCCTGAAAATTAAGAAACCTAAAAGCTAAATGTCTCTCTGCAGAGTATATGACTAGCAAATAGTAGAGCTGGGCTTTGAATAAAATATGCCTAAATCCCAGATGTGTAACTGCTATGCAATATTGCCCCAAAAAGATTTAAAATGTCCAACTTTTAGAGACTTTTTACCAAGCGATTTAATGTAACATGTGCTCTATTTTGCTCTTACAATTATCTGATTACATTGTGTACTGTTTTCCTGATAATGGCTTTCTCTAATCTTAGCACCTAAGATACGAAGGAGCTGCTTTGCTGTAACCAAAGGCTAGAGTGGTAAGGTGGTGGGTGACTTTACATTTGAAAGGGTCTTGAATGGCTAAAGAACAATCTGTTTTTATTTAAAGACTTCCAAGTAGGCATTTTACTTCAATACACTTCTAAAGCTATGATTTCATTAGAGTTGGGGTCCTAAATTAATAGGCCTTTCTTGTTTTCTCCTTTTTCTTCATAGGCAATAATCTTAAAGACCATGTTCTTTGGAAGCTAGTGTTGCTAAATTTTTCTTAAAAGTAAGCAGTTCTGTTCTCATTCTGCTTTTCTGTTTGTTTTTTTTCTTTTTTTTATTCTTTTATTCTTTTTTTTTCTTTTTTTAATATTATTATTACACTTTAAGTTTTAGGGTACATGTGCACAACGTGCAGGTTTGTTACATATGTATACATGTGCCATGTTGGTGTGCTGCACCCATTAACTCATCATTTAACATTAGGTATATCTCCTAATGCTATCCCTCCCCCTCCCCCCACCCCACAACAGTCCCCGGAGTGTGATAGCTCCTCATTCTGCTTTTCAATTTTGCCTTCCAGGCAAGTGGAATGTGAAACAAAAATTTAACATTTTCCCTTATGCAAGAACATACTCTTCCATATAAATTTTTGTAATTTTTTGAAACTTGTCATTACACAAAACGTTATATATAATATGTAGGCAGGTTTTAAATAATAGTAAAATTTTAAAAAGCATAGATGTGTACTCATCACACAGTCTAAATGCTGTAAATTACTAGTACATACTTAGAATCCCTATGTGTGCTTAAATAATTGCATCCTTCTGTCTACCAATTGCTACCCACTCACTCCCCAAGAAATAACCACTATGCCAACCTTTGTGTTAATCACTGTTACTATTTATAGATTTATGTTGTATGTATACTTAAATAGCATATTATTAACTGTTGCCTATTTTTGAAATTTATATAACAATATTGCATATATTCTTCTATGAATTTCTTTTTACTCAGTATTAGTTTTGGACATTTAGCCATGTTGATGCATGTGGTTGTACCTCATCTTCATTGAGGTATAATGTTCTATTATATGTCTCTTTTGATATTTTGTATTCTGAATGGACTCTTGGTTTGTTTTCATTATTTTACTATTATAAACAATGCATCTGTGAATACACATGTATGTATGTGTATATATATGTGTATATATATACACATATATATACACATGTATGTATGTGTATATATATGTGTATATATATACACATATATATACACATATGTATCTGAATGTGTTTATATAGATGTACATGTGTGAGAATTTATCTGTTATTGTATTGTCAACTCTTCTAGATAATGACATTCACACAGTGGATGGATGTATTCATTCTTACCAGCCATAGAAAATTTTTTTTGTTGTCATCGTAGATTTTCATCCATACTAGACATTTGCATATTTAGTTGATGTGAAATGATGTCTTATTTTGCTGTTAGGGTTCCTCTGGTTAATAATGAATTTGAAGAGAGCTTTAAAAATATTAATCGAGAACCATTTTCTTCCATCAGAATTATATGGTTTAAAATTTGCTTTCATAAGAATCTGTTACTACTACAAAATTACTTCATTCTTAGGTACCTGAAAATATCATTAGTTTTGTTAATGAGAGATAGTTTACTGGATATAGAATCCTAGATTGAAATTATTCTTATTCGTATATTTTAAATAATATTCTATTGTTTCAATCTTCCCTTTCTGCTATTTTCAAGTTGGTGCTTAGTCTAATGGTGTTTCTTTGCTCATGGTCCATGCTCTTCTGTCTGTACTTTTTGAAGATAGCATCCTTTTTGTTTATGTTTTACATTTTTGTTAAGATGTGTGCTGCATGCATTAATCTTTTGTTTGTACTTCTCAAGTTTTTTGAGCTTTTTGAATTTGAGTTTTCTGTAAGAAATTCTGAAAGTTCATTTACTAATTACCTTTAAATATTCTCTTCTAAGTTATCTGTATGATCTAATTCTAGAACTTCAGTTATTCACACATTAGTATTAGTCTATCCTCATGTTTTCTAACCATTATTTTATTAAAATTATTTCCCTTTTCTTATTTCTGCCTTCTGAATTATGAAAAATCGCATTGTATCTGTGTTCTCATTCACTGTGTCATCTATTGGATAATGTATGCATTGTTTTAGTTGCAATTATCATGTTTTTAAAAATTCTTAACATTTTATTTAGTTATGTTTCAGATCTGTTATTTTTTGTTTTAAATAGCATTCTGATCACTTCTCATATTTTAAAACTTTTTTGAATTTTAAAACATTTATTAAATTTGTTAATTATTTTCTACTTTTGCTAACATCAATATCTGTTTATTTAAAAGTCTGAATCGGCTATTGGCTGTTTCTACTCTTTCTGTCTTATGGTGAACTGTTGTATTGATCATGAATGGCTCATTTTCTTTAGTTTTTTTTTTTATTATACTTTAAGTTATAGGGTACATGTGCACAACGTGCAGGTTTGTTACACATGTATACATGTGCCATGTTGGTGTGCTGCACCCATTAACTCTTCATTTAACATTAGGTATATCTCCTAATACTATCCCTCTCCCCTCCCCCAACCCCACAAGAGGCCCCAGTGTGTGATGTTCCCCTTCCTGTGTCCATGTGTTCTCATTGTTCAATTCCCACCTACGAGTGAGAAAATGTGGTGCTTGGTTTTTTGTCCTTGCAATAGTTTGCTGAGAATGATGGTTTCCAGCTTCATCCATGTCCCTACAAAGGACATGAACTCATCATTTTTTATGGCTGCATAGTATTCCATGGTGTATATGTGCCACATTTTCTTAATCCAGTCTATTATTGTTGGACATTTGGGTTGGTTCCAAGTCTTTGCTATTGTGAATTGTGCTGCAATAAACATACTTGTGCCTGTGTCTTTATAGCAGCATGTTTTATAATCCTCTGGGTATCTACCCAGTAATGGGACGGCTGGGTCAAATGGTATTTCTAGCTCTAGATCCCTGAGGAATCGCCACACTGACTTCCACAATGGTTGAAGTAGTTTACAGTCCTACCAACAGTGTAAAAGTGTTCCTATTTCTCCACATCCTCTCCAGAACCTGTTGTTTCCTGACTTTTTAATGATCACCATTCTAACTGGTGTGAGATGGTATCTCATTGTGGTTTTGATTTGCATTTCTCTGATGGCCAGTGATGATGAGCATTTTTTCATGTGTCGTTTGGCTGCATAAATGTCTTCTTTTGAGAAGTGTCTGTTCATATCCTTCGCCCACTTGTTGATGGGGTTGTTTGTTTTTTTCTTGTAAATTTGTTTGAGTTCATTGTAGATTCTGGATATTAGCCCTTTGTCAGATGAGTAGATTGCAAAAATTTCCTCCCATTCTGTAGGTTGCGTGTTCACTCTGATAGTAGTTTCTTTTGCTGTACAGAAGCTCTTTAGTTTAATTAGATCCCATTTGTCAATTTTAGCTTTTGTTGCCATTGCATTTGGTGTTTTAGACATGAAGTCCTTGCCCATGCCTATGTCCTGAATGGTATTGCCTAGGTTTTCTTGTAGGGTTTTTATGGTTTGAGGTCTAACATGCAAGTCTTTAATCCATCTTGAATTAATTTTTGTATAAGGTGTAAGGAAGGGATCCAGTTTCAGCTTTCTACATATGGCTAGCCAGTTTTCCCAGCACCATTTATTAAATAGGGAATCCTTTCCCCATTGCTTGTTTTTTTTTTTATGTTTGTCAAAGATCAGATAGTTGTAGATATGTGGCATTATTTCTGAGGGCTCTGTTCTGTTCCATTGGTCTATATCTCTGTTTTTGTACCAGTAGCATGCTGTTTTGGTTACTGTAGCCTTGTATTATAGTTTGAAGTCAGGTAGTGTGATGCCTCCAGCTTTGTTCTTTTGGCTTAGGATTCACTTGGCAATGTGGGCTCTTTTTTGATTCCATATGAACTTTAAAGTAGTTTTTTCCAATTCTGTGAAGAAAGTCATTGGTAGCTTGATGGGGATGGCACTGAATCTATAAATTATCTTGGGCAGTATGGCCATTTTCACAATATTGATTCTTCCTACCCATGAGCATGGAATGTTCTTCCATTTGTTTGTATCCTCTTTTATTTCATTGAGCAGTGGTTTGTAGTTCTCCTTGAAGAGGTCCTTCACATCCCTTATAAGTTGGATTCCTAGGTATTTTATTCTCTTTGAAGCAATTGTGAATGGGAGCTCACTCATGATTTGGCTCTCTGTTTGTCTGTTATTGGTGTATAAGAATGCTTGTGATTTTTGCACATTGATTTTGTATCCTGAGACTTTGCTGAAGTTGCTTATCAGCTTAAGCAGATTTTGGGCTGAGATGATGGGGTTTTCTAGATATAAAATCATGTCATCTGCAAACAGGGACAATTTGACTTCCTTTTTTCCTAATTGAATACCCTTTATTTCCTTCTCATGCCTAATTTCCCTGGCCAGAACTTCCAACACTATGTTGAATAGGAGTGGTGAGAGAGGGCATCCTTGTCTTGTGCCAGTTTTCAAAGGGAATGCTTCCAGTTTTTGCCCATTAAGTATGATATTGGCTGTGGGTTTGTCATAAATAGCTCTTATTCTTTTGAGATACATCCCATCAATACCTAATTTATTGAGAGTTTTTAGCATGAAGGGCTGTTGAATTTTGTCAAAGGCCTTTTCTGCATCTATTGAGATAATCATGTGGTTTTTGTCATTGGTTCTGTTTCTATGATGGATTACGTTTATTGATTTTCATATGTTGAACCAGCCTTGCATCCCAGGGATGAAGCCCACTTGATCATGGTAGATAAGCTTTTCGATGTGCTGCTGGAATCGGTTTGCCAGTATTTTATTGAGGATTTTTGCAACGATGTTCATCAGGGATATTTGTCTAAAATTCTCTTTTTTTGTTGTGTCTCTGCCAGGCTTTGATATCAGGATGATGCTGGCCTCATAAAGTGAGTTAGGGAGGATTCCCTCTTTTTCTATTGATTGGAATAATTTCAGAAGGAATGGTACCAGCTCCTCCTTGTACCTCTGGTAGAATTCGGCTGTCAGTCCATCTGGTCCTGGACTTTTTTTGGTTGGTAAGCTATTAATTATTGCCCCAATTTCAGAGCCTGTTATTGGTCTATTGAGAGATTCAACTTCTTCCTTGTTTAGTCTTGGGAGGGTGTATGTGTCGAGGAATTTATCCATTTCTTCTAGATTTTGTAGTTTATTTGCATAGAGGTGTTTATAGTATTTTCTGATGGTAGTTTGTATTTCTGTGAGATCGGTGGTGATATCCCCTTTATCATTTTTTATTGCGTCTTTTTGATTCTTCTCTCTTTTCTTCTTTATTAGTCTTGCTAGCGGCCTATGAATTTTGTTGATCTTTTCAAAGAACCAGCTCCTGGATTCATTGATTTTTTGAAGGGTTTTTTGTGTCTCTATTTCCTTCAGTTCTGCTCTGATCTTAGTTATTTCTTGCCTTCTGCTAGCTTTTGAATGTGTTTGCTCTTGCTTCTCTAGTTCTTTTAATTGTGATGTTAGGGTGTCAATTTTAGATCTTTCCTGCTTTCTCTTGTGGGCATTTAGTGCTATAAATTTCCCTCTACACACTGCTTTGAATGTGTCCCAGAGATTCTGGTATGTTGTGTCTTTGTTCTCATTCTTTAGATTTTTATCTTCATCAGTGCTGAGTTTCTTTAGAGAGGATTTGTAATGGTTTCCACAATGACTTGAGTGTACTGCCTACAAGGGACCATTCCACATTCCACTCTAGGCTTGAAATTGTTAGATTTTATAGTTGATGTGAATTCACAATGTAAACCCATGGATTGGCAAGCTAGTTTATTCTTTGGAGAGATATTTTCCTTCCACTTAGTACCCAGATTAAGGCCTGGTGTAATTTGAAGTAACCTAGACACCTGAGGTGCAAAATTGAAGAAGTCACTAAAAAAATTTAGAATGGGTGCCTCCTAGGCACCCAGCTAGGGAGAGACACCTAGCTTGCCTAGTCTTCAGCCTGATCAAATGAATATAGACCAGTCACTCTAATCACTCTTCTGTGTAGCATAAGTAAGCATTAGGCTTTATATTCTGCTATGTCCCATGCCATTATTAAAACAAAAATTCAATGTTTCCAGGGTTGTATACAGCCCTCTAGATGCAAACCTACTTTTAGCAGTTTCTTATTGTTCAAGGTTACTATTGTCACTTTACTTTAAGTTCTATGGATTCATCTTTTTAAGACAACTTAGCATTGTTTTTAAAATAATATTTTAACTGACATTTCAGTTGTTTCATTTTGAATTTCCATTCAGGCTATCTAGAATGCCATACTCGCAGCAATGAAAATCACATTTTCCTCTGTAAAGGTTGTTTGATAACTACATTTTGAGGTCATTCTTAAAATAAAACATTGAAGATAAATATTACCATATGTTTATCATATGATTAGAAAAAATGTGAACTTTTTACATTAGGAGAAATATATTGAACAGAACACTTAGTTATTTTCACAATGGTCTAACAAGCAAAATCAGTCTATATGAATAAGACCGAACCTGTTCCAAAAAATAGCCTTAAAAGTAACAAGGTGGATATGAAATATCAGAGTGCTCTATGATTAACAAAAACAATTTTTTCCCATTCACCCTTTCAGAAGGATTTAAATGCATTAGAAGATGAACTTGCTAACCATGATGAATATTTACTTGGAGAAATGTGAGGAGGGGTTATGCATGAGCCTGGACCAACTCCAGGTGCACTAAACATTAGGACCTGCATCTTTTACATCCTCATGCCTATTTTCTAACCCCTGAATTATACTGGTCTTGCTGAGTTGCTTGAATGAGTACTGCAGCTTTCATAAAGTAAATAATTTCCTTCACTTTTTTGCATGAGTACCATTTTGTCAGCAAGCTAGTGTACTAATGATCATCTTAGTATGGACTAACAAATCTTAATCTAAAATGTGTCTTAAATTATCAATATGTTGATAATCAAGAGAAGCTAATATTTCAGACATGGGAAAATTAACTACTTTGGTTGCCTAATGATAAAGAAGCGTACTGTACAAACCAGTGTTTTATTCCATAAGACCACCATGGTGACTAGTTATAGGGTCTAAATAGTTCCCTGGGGATCCATAAGTATTAACATAACTTCAAATGTTACTGAACCATAAAAACATTGTCACTAAGAAAATCTGTTTCAATATTTGCCTACATGCAAAACATGAAAACACTTTGCCTGTTTGTATTTACTGTAGCTATTTTCCATGTGTTTGTGTTTACACTTATGTGTGTGTGTCTGATTTGCGTATAGAGTAACCTTCTGTGTCTTTTTTCAAAGACAGAGGAATGAGTTATGATCACCAAAAGCTTCTCTCAACTACAACCTTAGGCTCAAACCTTGCAAGAGGCCTTCATTCCCCAGTGTGAATAAATTAGATCTAGTCCCACTGAAAAATCAACAAGGACCATCCTGCGGCTCGTTTCACTGGGGCAAAGAACAGGTGCAAGGCCCACATTTCTGACTGCTTGGTGCCTTGTTATTATTTTTATGAATAGTCGGTGCATCAGGAACTACAGGGATCCAAGCCTTTCCTTGAGCCCAATCAAAGGATTAGTGTGATTCAGGCAGAGATTGAATCTGTGTGGAAAATTGTCCATGCTGAGTTCTATTAGAAGGAGCTGCTGAGTGAGCTTCATTACTAATCACAAGGCAAAATTACAGTCTCTAGAAATGAGAAACCAGTAAACAAAATAATAAAAGTCATTTTAATTATTAAATGACAGTGTTACAAACCATATGCTACTTATCAGTGCCATAATGAAATACAGTAAATAGAAAAATATCCATATGGTCCATTCACTGTGATTTAATTTTGCATAATATATTATTTTAATGATTTTTTTAAATGTGACTAATTATCAAGTTCATAATTCCCTTCAGCAACCAGTATCTATATTTTTTAACAAATGTACCAATTTTTATTCACCAGTGCATTGTGTTGACTGAAGAACACTTGAAACTCTGAAAGGTCTTCTTTATACAGTCCAAGTTATCAGTGCCTAATGGTGCTAAGTGTTGAATTGCTCCCATTTTAATAGAACAATCAGGGCCTACTCTTTCCATTATCCTTCTCTGTGCACTTCCCATCCACACTATTGTTGTGCTGATTAGCCAGCATTATTTGTAAAGACTTGGTAACTTGTGATTCAGATATAACAGGTGATTCTCCCTTGTTATTTGAAAACCAAACATGTTTGATAATTTTTCAAGTTTGCAGAAATTATCGAAATGCCAATATCATTTTACTAGAAGCAATGAGCTGTTCTACTCAGTAAAACTGAATACAAAAATGACCTCTTGTTTAGTATTTTTGAGAATTGGCAAAGTAAAAGTAATACTTGGAAATAGCTGTTTGTTGTTAAATCTGCTGATGTTGAAAATTATATCTGTTATCCATCTGTCTTATTAAGCTCTTGAAATAAGAGTTTATTAATATACATGTAATGACCATGTACATTAATTTTCAGGAAGTAGGATGTTATTATCAGTGCAAAATGACCTATTAGTGTTTTATACTTGATATACTCATGCTTTTTATGGCACACAGAAGAGGGTCATTAATAACATAGCTCATGTTTCTAAAGCTATAATATTTATCCAAAACACTCCTTAAAATAAATATGCCCTATTTTTCTTTTACTATTTTAGTAAATACATATTGAATGCCTACTACATGCCAGACTAAAGTCATTCTACAAGAAGAAAATACTCAATTATTACCCAGAGGTATACACCAAAGAAATCTTATTTTTCATTACAACTAGGTGATTCATTGTTCAAAAGAAAATAATTTTACTAAACGTGTTCCAATATAATAGCATTTTATTAGACAATCTAGGACATTAACTTAGTCCCTTATCACTGCAGTGTGTTTTATAGGATGGACACTCAGTGAAAAGAAGATTGTCAAGTGGAAACTGTGGCACACTCTTAAGTCCCCCTAAAATATTACATTGCATTGTGAACCTAAGACGTCTATTTTTGGTGGGAATAATATTGCAGAGCTGTTGCTTAGTGTTAACATTGTGACTGACAAGGAGATACTTTTTTTCCTTTTGTGTTTCTGTATCCTAAAAAGACAGCTTATGATTTTCCCCATCCTTTTGAATACTCTTAAGGAAACAATGCTGAAAAAAACTGAATAAAATTAACTACTGGCAAAATGTTGTTGGTAAGGGGAAAAAAACAGTGTTATTGTCCCATTATTTAGAATGTTCAAAGTATATTTTAGAGTTGTATCAATATCTTTTTAATTAAAACAAAATAGGATTCACAAAATAAGGTCCATTTTGCTTTCTTTTACACAAAGGAGGAAGAAACCTGCTATAGGCTAGAGAAGTGATGTTGAAGATTATACTTAGAGAAAAGAGATATATTTAAGTGAGAAAATATGGCAAGCAAAAGCCTGAATGTAGAAAGGGAAGGAAGAGTAAAGAAGATGTGATTAGTTCCGTCATATATAAATTAAAACATGTAACTTGAAAATCAAGATTTTAGAAAATGTGTACAAGTTAAGCACACTGGCAAGAAAAAACTGAAAAAGGCTACAAATGTTGACTTGTATTAAATTATAATAAGGAATTTCATTTAGACTCTTTTACCTTTAGATTAAAATCTACTTTTCATTTAGATTATAATTTATTTATATTATTTTTATATTTTATGTTATTTTATATATATCATAATTTAAATGGTATTTATTTTTGCAATTCTGTCACTGAAATATGCACACAAATAATTTCAGACAATGGTAGAACTATTTTATTTCTTTCTCTGTAACAATAACATTGTCATTAGATTTTTCTTTTCCTGAGTAATATGTAATGGAATTCATGAAAATTAGTTTTCAAATAACTATTCCAAGGATAATTTTAAATGTAGTATTGTATAGTACTTTTTTCTTTAGTTAATATCCAAACTATAAAACCTTACAGTTATTTGTTGCATTTTATATTTATCTAAATGTATGTAGTTGTATATGAGCACATGTATGTGGATATTTTTCTCAAGGTGGCGTTTTTTTCCTGATGAATAGCTTTCTTTTCCATAATTTCTTCTGCATTCTCCTTACAACATCTAGAATAATATTTATAGGCAGTGTGATATTTTAATTGCTTTAAGAACATACAACATTAGTAATAATAGAAAGTGCTGAGTTAGTCCTTATTATGTGATGCAATGTTGTAAGCACTATATGTGAATTACCTAATAGGTAATTGCTATAACTATACCCATTTTGCCAACAAAGAAAGGTTATATAACTTTCCTAGGGTCGCATTACTGGTAACTAGGAAAGCAGATACTCTAATCCAGACAGTCCAGTTGTCTGAACTGTCTAAATTTAAAAATTCTTTTGTTTCCTTTTTAAAAAAATACAATAAGCTGAACATGTTTAAAAGGTACAATTTGATAAATTTTGACATATATATATACACCTGTGAGAATATTACCAAACTCAAGATAATGCAGATATTCATCACTCCCAAAAGTTTCCAAGGGCCTGGTTGGAATCCCTTCCTTTCATTCCTCACCAATCCTTCCCCCATCTTATGCTCAGGCAATCTGATTTGCTTTCTGTAACAATAAATTGGTTGTCACCTTCTAGAATTTTAAGTAAATGGAACTATACAGTATGTGCAATTTGTCTTGCTTTTGTCACTTAGCATAATAATTTTGAGATTCATCAATGGTATGTTTGTTAATGGCTATGTCTTTATATTGATAGATAGTATTTCCTTGCACAAATTTTTCCACTGTTTGTCCATTCACTTGATAATTGATATTTGGTATTTTCTAGATTTTCACTAATGCAAATAAATCTGCTACTGACATTTGCATAGAAGTATTTGTTATAGAGATGTAATTTCATTTTCCTTGAGCAAATAACTAGAAGTAAAGGGCTCAATGCTATTGTAGGTCTATATTGAACACTTTAAGAATCTCCAAATGTTTTCCAAAGTGGTTGTATCATTTTACTTACCCACCAGCAGCACTGGAAAGTTGTAGTTTCTTCACATTTTTGCCAACATTAAATGTGATCAGTCTTTTTACTTTTAGCTATTCTAACATATTTAGTAATATATAATTGTATTTTTAACTTTCATTTCATATAGAAAAATGATGCTAAACACTGTTTTGCATGCTTTTCTGCCAATAGGATGTCTTCTTTGGTGAAGCATCCAAATTGTTGCCCAACTTTTATTGGTTTGTTTTCTTGTTATTGTTTTAAGAGTTTGTTATTCTTAGCAAAAATTCTTTATTAGATATATTATTTGCAAATATTTTCCCTCAATATATAATGTTGATTTTCATTTTATTAACAGGATGTTTCAAAGAGAAGACATTTTTTCACTTTGATAAAACAAATTTATCAATTAATTCTTTTATGGGCTATACTTTCAGTGTTGTATGTAAGAAATCTTGGCCTATCCCAAGGTCATGGGATTTTATTGTATGGTTTTATTGTAAAGTTTTATAGTTTCAGGTTTTAAATTTTGTTCTAGTACACATTTGATTTTCTAGATTTTTCTACGTGGCACATACAAATAGACATCTAATTCTTTTAGCACTGTGTTGAAAAATTATCATTCTTTAGAAGCTGAATTTCTTTTATACCTCTGTCCATATATATATATATTTCTGGATTATCATTTCCATTTATTTGTTTTTCTGTCTTTGCTTTGATGTCACAGTATTTTGATTACTATACTTTTATATAAGTGTCTAAATCAAGTAGCGTTTATCTCTTTTAAAGTTGGTTTGTCTAGTCTAGGGCCTTTGCTTTTTTATATGAATTTTTGAATGAGTTTGGTACACACATGCAAAAAAAATTCTCTTGTGAGTTTGACTGAGATTTCATTAAACCCGTAGATCACCCTAGGAAGAGTTAACGTGTTGATAATATTGAGTCTACTGAACCACAATCATAATATATCTGTCATTTTTTAGTTCCTTAGTTTATTTCTTTAGTATTTTGTTGTTTTCAGTGTGCAAGTTTTCTACATGTTAGATTTATCCCTAAGTATTTCATATTGTTCCAGGTTATTGCTACATTTTAAATGTTAGTTTTTGATATTTGTTGTATTTAGAAATACTATTGATTTTTGTATATTGATTATGTAACCTGAAACCTTGCTGAACTCGTAAATTAATTTTTGTAGATTTTTGTAGATCTGTCACAATATCTACATGTACAAGTATGTCATCTACAAATAAAGACAGTTTTACTTCTTTCTGTCTAATCGACATGCTTTTATTTCTTTTTTCTCTAACTTATTCTACTAGCTAGAACCTCCAGTATAATGTTAAACAGAAGTGTTGAAGGTAGTTATTATAATTTTTTTCTTGTTTCCATCTTATGGAAAAGGCATTCAGTCTTTCACTATTAAATATAATATTAGCTGCATATTTTCATAGAACCACTTGGTTGGACAAATTACCTTCTATTCTTAGTTTTCTAAGAATTTTCCCTAGGAACAGGTTTTGGATTTTCTCTACACCGTTTTCTCCATTGAGATGATCACATGGATTTTTAATAATTATCTTCCAATATTGTGAATTACATTGATGGGTTTTCTAATGTTAAACCTTCATTCCTAGAATAAGCCCCGCTTGGTAATTATGTATTATATATTTTTATTGTTGGCTTCAATTTGCTAACATTTTGTAGAGAGCTTTTGCATCATGTTTAGGAGATGTTTTTTTCTTTCTGTTTTTCTTTTATTGTCAGAGTAATTCTGGGCTCTGATAGTGCCCTCCTTTTCATTTCTTTGGAAAAACTTGTGTAAAGTTTGTATGATATATTCATTAAACATTTGGTGGAACTTAATAGCGAAGCCACATGAGACTAGAATTTTCTTTCTTCTTTCTTTCTTTTTTCTTTTTTTTTTTTTTTTTTTTTGAGATGGAGTCTCGCTCTGTTGCCCAGGCTGGAGTGCAGTGGCGTGGTCTCGGCTCACTGCAACCTCTGCCTCCCAGGTTCAGGGTATTCTCCTGCCTCAGCCTCCCAAGTAGCTGGGACTACAGGCAAGTGCCACCATACCCGGCTAATTTTTTTTTTTTTTTTTTGTATTTTTAGTTGGCCAGGATGGTCTCAAACTCCTGACCTCGTGATCTGCACAACATGGCCTCCCAAAGTGCAGGGATTACAGACATGAGTTGCAGCGCCCAGCTGAAACTAGAATTTTCTGACTGGAAAGAATTTTAACTACAACCTGAAGTTTGTTAAAAATAGATACATGGCTGTTCAAGTTATCTACTTGTTATTGAATAAATATTGGTAGTTTGCGTTTTTCAAGCAGTTGGTTGATTTCCTCTGTTGTCAAATTTACTGGCATAACGTTGTTCGCAGTATTCTTTATTATACTTTTAATATATGTAGAATCTGTAATGATATGACCTCTCTTATTCCTAATATTGGTGATTTGTGTCACCCCTCACCCCTCTCTTTTTGTTGGTAGTCTGGCATGAGATGAATCAATTAATTTTCACATTATTAAAAACTATCTTTTGATTTTATTGATTTCCTCTATTTACTGTTTTCTATTTTGATTTATATCAATCCTTATTTCCTTTCTTTTATTGTCTTAAGGTTTAATTTACTATATTTCTCTAGTTTCTTAGGGTTGAAACTATAGTCATGAATTTGAGAACTGTTTAATTTTTCCTAATACAGATCTAGTGCTATAATTTACTTCTGAGTTCTGCTTTACTAGCATCCTGTATATTTTGACATGTGTTTTCACTTTCACTCAGTTCAAAATACTTTCTAACATACTTTTTGATTTTTACTTTGACCTATAGGCTATTTAGAGTTGTATTGTTTCATTTTTCAATATTTGGGGATTTTCCAAGCATCCTCCAGTGATTTATTTCCAATTTAATTCCACCTTGGCCAGAGAACATATTTTGCATGACTTGAATCATTTTAAATTTTGGAGTTGGAGGACTTATTTTATGGCCCAGAATATTGCTTACTTTGGCAAAAGTTCCATGTATACTTAAAAAACTGTGAATTATTCTGTTGCATATAGTATTTTATAAACATCGATGAGCTGGTTGATAGTATTTTTCAGGTCTTCTATATTGTAATCTATATTTTATCTTTTTGTTGTACCAAGTAGATTGTTGAAATCTTTAACTATAATTGTGGATCTATTTTCACCTTTCATTTCTACTATTTTTACTTTATATATTTTGATGCTCTATTTTCATTGCATTCAATTTAAAATTTTTTATATCATCTTAAAAAATTGATGACTTTACTATCAAAGAATGACATTCTTTATTCTTGATAAAGCCTTTGCTTTGATATCTACTTCATCTGGTATCAATATGATCATTCCACCTTTCTTTTGATTAGAGTTATCATGACTTTTTTTATTCTTTTACTTTTGATACACTCTGTCTTTGTATTTAAACTGGGTTTCTGGTAGATAGTACATAATTGGGTCATTGTATCCATGTCATAAGTCAAAAATGTATACTGTAAGCCACAAAGCAGCCATAAAATGATAAAAACAAATAACCATAAAGCCCAAAAAGAAGATAAAAATGGAATCATAAAAGATCCTCATTGGATTCAAGAATAGTCAAATAAAGAGAAAAAGCCTGCTGTTTAAAATGGTGTGTTTTGACTGTTTTCATTTAATGTGATTGCTTAATTAAAATCTAACATTTTGTTTCCCATTTGTCTGATGTATTCTTTGTTTACATTTTCCTCTTTATCTGACTTCTGAATTAAATGAGGACTTCATGATTTTATTTTATCTACATTGTTGGCTTATTGGTTATTTGTTTTTATTATTTTAATGGCTGCTTCGTGGTTTATAGTAACTTATGTTGTTAAGTAATACATAATTTTGCACATCTTAGAATTATAAAATACAATACTTCTGTGTTTTCAATCTTTGTTTTCTTATTGTCACACATTCACTTTTACATATGTTAAAAACTACACACTATATTGATTTTATTTTTGTTTAGTTAACTAGTTTTAGGAGATGTAAATAACATTAAAAATTATCAATAGTTACCATTTCTACGATCTTCATTTCTTTGTGTAGATTCATATTTCATCTGGTATAATTGTTCTACTACCAGAAAGATTTATTTAAACATTTTATTTTCAGTACTGTCTGTCAGTGATAAATTATTTGAGCTTCGCTGTGTCTGAAATGTCTTTTTTCTGCTGTTGCTTTTGAAAGATACGTGTGCTAGGAACAGAATTTTTGGCTGACAGCTGTTTTCTCTCAGTACTTTCAAAGGTATTGCTCCACTCTCTCCCAACTTTCATTCTTTTCAATTATAAATCTGCTGTTATCTTTATCTCTGTTCTTCTTTGTGGTCTATCCCATGTGTTTTTCTTTTGCTGTTTTAATAATTTTTCTTTTATTTTTATCACTAATTTAGGACAATTTGGTCTTATGTGCCCTGGTGTAGTTTCTTCTTTTACCTTTCTTTTTCTTTTCTTTTCTTTGTATTCTTTCTTTTTCCTTTTTTTTTTTTTTTTTTTTGTAATTTGGATTTATTGCTCTTTGGATCTGTAAGTTCACAGTTTTCTTTAAATTTAGAAAAGATTCAGCCATTGCTTTTCACATATGTTTTGACACTCCCACATCCTTTTCTCTGGTGACTCTAATAACACACATATAAGGCTACTTACGATTGCCCAACAGCTCACTTGTGCTTTGTTCATTATTTTTTGTGCACCTTTTTCTGCTACATTTTATTATGAATAGTTGTTTTCATTATAGTTTTTGTTTCTAGATATTTAATTTGTTTTTATTTATACCCTTCATATTTCTACTCATATTTTTGAATATATAGGAAAGAGTTATAATATATGTTTAATACCTGAGTGCCAATTCTAACCTCAATTCTGGGTGACTTTCATTGCTTTATTTTTCTTCTCATTATGGGTCTAATTTTTCAGGTTTTTTTGCATGCATGCTATTTTTTGACTGGATAGCAGGTATTATATTATAATTTTTATCTTTTTGGTTACTGAATTTTTTTTATTCCTCTGTCTTCTTGAGTTTTTTTCCTAAGACACCATTAAGTCACTTGGAAACTGTTTGATCCCTAATTTGCTTTTAAGATTTGTTAGACTGGACCAGAATGATGCTTAGCAGACGTCTGATTATTTCCCACTACTGAGATAAGGCCCTCCTGTGTGTTCAGTTCAATACCATGAATCATGAGGTTTTCTAATCTTTCTGGAAGGATTAAGCACTATTGCAGACCTGTGTGAGTGCCAAACACTATTATCTTTGATCTTTTCAGGTGGCTCCTTTCCTGTCTTGTGATAGTTCACTCACATGCGTATACTAATTAGTTTTCTGTTCAATACTTGAGGGACACTCTCTGCAGATCTCTGGATTCATTTTCCTGGGCAGCTCTTTTCTCTCTAGTGCGTTCACCTACATATTCTGGTCTCCTCAGCCTCCTTGAACTCTCAACTCCATCTCTTCAACTCAGGGGGTCCATCAGGTTCCCTTAGTACCTCTCTCTTGTGAAGTGGTATTGAAACCCTCTCAAGGCAGTTAAGCTGGGAGCAGTCATAATGCTTACCTAATGTTTCCCAACCCTCGGTGATAACTCATTTTCATTGCCTGATGTCTACTGATATTATCTTGTAATCCAATGTTTCATTTTGTTGCTGTTGTTACCTTGTCCTGTTACTCCAACTTAACTAGAAACAGAAATTGGCGATCCTTCTACTCAAGATTCTCCAGAGAAACAGACCAATAGACTGTGTGTGCGTGTGTCTGTGTGTGTCTGTGTGTCTGTGTGTGTGAAGAAATGTATTATAAAGAATTGGTTCATCCAATTTTAGAGGCTAGCAAGTCCAAAATCTGTGGGGTGGACTAACAGGCTGGAGATCCAGGAGAGCTGAGAATGTAGTTCCTGTCCAAAGACCAGCAGACTAGAGGCCAAGGAGAGCCGATGTTCTAATTCAAGTCCTAAAACAATTTACTGTAGAGTCAGAAAGCTTAAATGTTGAAGGGGAAGTCCAAGGGAAGTCTCTGGAAAAATTGCTGTTGCTCAAGAGCAATCTTTTTATTGCATTAAGGCCTTCAACTGATGCGACCCACCCATGTAATAGAGTGCAATATACTTTACTTGAAGTCTACCAACTTAAATGCTATTCGAAAACAGCCTCACAGAAATACTCAGAACCCTGCTGTTCTCTTGTCTTCTTTCCTCATGAAAACAAAATCCCTGCTATACAAACAACTAATTGAATAAGACAAATCTTGTACTCAAAGCCAGATGATGGGTTTTTAATTTTATTGTGCTACTTACCACCTCTGTGACATTACTAGAACTCAACATTAGACCACATTTAAAGCTTTTATGCTTACCCAGGTAATAGGATACTTGAAAATTGTGTCTCCATTTAAGGAAAATCATGCCTTCAAAGTATATTTTAGGTAATAGCACTAAATAGGAACTCTTTTTCCTAACATAACATGACTCTATTATAGGTGAGCAAAGTAAAGTCGCCACCACATCAGAAAATCCACAAACAATCAAAATATTTAAAACACATATTCATTTTAATAAAGTTATTTATTATATCGCCGCTTGATCATTTATTGTTTACTAATATTACTAAAAGACAAATAATAGCAGAAAAGAAAATAAATATGAGAGAAAACATGAAATTGAGAAAACTCATACATTAGCTCTTTTTTCCCTTATACATTTGAAAAAGATTGCTATTATGTGAACTAGAGTGTGGTCTAAATCTATCTCAGCTCAGCTCAGGGACAACTTGGAATATGGATTGAGAAAAGTCGAAGAGATTGTTTCTAAGATGTATGCTAGCTCTCTCTTGAACGAAGTGTTTTATAAGCTAAGACCTTATAAAAAATGTGAAGTAATTTTGCTTTTTTTGTCTGTTATGAACACTCTTCCTGAAAAATGTGATTCCAATTAATATGCTGCAAAGGAGAGAACTTTTGCTTTTTCTTTGAATGTTTCATAAATGCTACATTAACTCTGGATTCACAAATATAAATATTTTATTTTCTGTTTAACAAACTTTAGAAAGAGACTGTTGGCAATTGAACCAAAATATTTAAGTTGAACTTTCATAGGTATGTGAATTAATTAAAATAATATTTTACTACCCTAAATTTTCATTGAACCTTAATTGAATTCAAAGTATCTTTATTACTAGAAAGGAATCAATTTGAAGGCATAGATAAAAATGTAATTGATGTATTTAGTTAATTTATTTACCCCCTGGTATTTATTTCAGGAGGAAATTTGGTAATTTTTAAGTGAAAAACTGTCATCTTACTTACCTAGAACCCCTGGCAATATTAGCTCCTCTGTCAATATCACAGCTGCAACCACTTAAAACATCCTTATAGATATCAAACTTCCAATTATACATAGTTCTATGATACTGTATCATACTGTTAACAACTGCTTATATGTGTCTAATACTCATGGTATAGGCCTTCGTCTGAGCACAGAGAACACCATGAGGTTTCTCAGAATACTCTTTTCACTTATCCTTACAGGTCTTGGAACATGTGAATTCATTACTGAACGTAACCTTAGGATTACAGCATTTATTCAGATTTTCTTACAGCATCTGCTCTTCCTCTGAAAAATATTGGCCTTCAAGGAGATCTCACCATGACTCATCCATCATACCCATCAGTTTGACTGTTGTTTCTCCTTCTAATTTCACTCTGTCTTTCAAGGATAGATACCATCTACTTTTTTAATAATAATAATAGACAGAAAATATTTGTTTATTTACTTATTTATTCAATTTTTAATTTTTGTGGGTACCTATTTGGTGATATTATCTACTTTTATATAAGTTGTTTTATTGTTTTGTTTGTAAGGATGTATCTTTTTAGATAAATTACTTAGCATTTTCTTTGAAAATTACTTAAGAGAGCATTATTAAAAGAAGATTAGTTTGCAATTAAAATATAGAAGTGAAGGTTCAGTTGTTGCAAATAAGTTCCTAATGGAGAAATAAATGTGGAAAAGTTTGCACTCAAGTGTCTCCCACGGATGATCTAAATTAACAGTGCTCAGGCTTGCTGGCCTTTTTCATTCCTAAATCATTCTTTAAGAAACCCACAAATGGAGTCGTAGCATCTTCACAGAGGTCCAGTGGAGCCAGCATGCTGTCTGAAGTAATGTTCTCACCTCTAGAGGAGGGAGTGGGCTTTTTGAAATTAGCAAGGATGGCTTTGATATATTCTCCTGCCTGTCATGAAAGACTCCACTTCATCTGGCTTGTGTTCTTCCTGCCTGCCTCTGATTGATTTCATGTAATCCTGTTGTGCTCTTTGTCATTGCCTTTCATGAAGCCAATTTCCTGCAGGTGGTAGTTCATTGCTTTATCATAATACAATAATATCTTGTAGTATCTTTTTTCTCCAGTCAAGCTGAGGTATTATCTGCAGAGATAATAAAAATATTTTCTCTCAGATAACATTTTAGATATGTCACCTCATTAAACCTTCCTGAGCTCTTTTGATAGGTTGCAAATGTTACCATGTCTGCTTGAAAAATTGGGAAATTGAGACTTTGCAAGTTATACAATTTGCCTTTAACTTGCAGAAAAAGTGTCAGGTATTGAAATAGTATCCCAAATGTATATTTCAACCTATTTCTCTTGTTTTATTAAGTCAAGTTTAGACTCATTTGTTCAGGAAATTAGCCAATCCTAAGTGACAGAAGACACTGGATGTGTCCTAAATTTCCTACTCATTCACTAATTCAACAAAACTTACAAAGTTCTGCCAACCTATGTAGATTGTTTCTAACAATACTATAATTCCAAGACACTATTTTTCATAGTAGCTTATTTGGGACTTTTGGTTACTGAAAATGCAGGGGATCAGCCCAGGCTTGGCATACTCATTTATACAAATTGCAATATAAGTCAAATTATATCATCTTACACTTTAAAAATGAATATAAATAGTGTACCTTTACTAGTCTTACTAGTCTAATGTATTTGGAATAATACAGGTCTTTAATAATACTTCTTCTTTTGGTAATATAGTCACTAATTTGAAATCCTGTCTCCTGAAAATTTTTCAACACATGAAAGAAATGTTTCCAGTTCCATGAAATGTGCAATCGTATGTGTTAACTAGTATTGGTTAAACCAGCCCAATCACCAAGGAGGCAACTCGCTTTACTTTGATGTTCCTTAGCTTTAGTTCTTCTGTTATACCAACATGAATTTCTTCCCTCCGCCCCTCCTGCTAGTTCTACTGAGGAAACACTATTAGGAAAACAATATTTTTGTTATGCAAAGCAACCTAATTGTTAGGTTAGCTAGCACTTATAAGACTTAAGTAATTTTATTTTAATATATTCTGGATTTTTCCCCTAGAGTTCTAATTTTTATGTATAATGCCAATTAATTCATTTATCAATAGATATTCGGAAGCAAATTTTATGTAATTTGGTGTAAAATCTTAATAAACAGTGAACAAGAGAGAACATCCACTTATTCTATATGTTTTGTTTTACTAGTTTCCTTTGAGTAAATAAAATGTTACTTAATTATATAAATTCTTTCCTCCAGCATTAATGAATCCATTATAAGGTACCAAGCTAAATCTTCAGCTTTCATGGAAAATTTGCTTTGTCTCCAAAATATACTAGCTATCAATAAGCACAAAGATAATACAAATTGGTATTGTACTTTCTTCTTTGCGTGGGTTATTTGTTTAGTTGGTTATAAATTTTGTGTTGGATTCAATCTAATTTATCATTTCTTACAATTATGAAATCTGTTAAATATTACCAGAGACCAATAAACCAATGAAATCATGTAACATCTCCTGATACAGTGGTGTTTTTAGATACATAGAAATTTTAAAAAATGAATTATTGGGTTGTTATTATGGACTTATGAATTATTACAAAGTGTTAGTATAAAGTTCAGGAACTTGTCATTTCATATGTTAATATTTCTTAAGTTTATTATGTTTATTGTTCTATTGTTAGAATATCTTTAGTTCTAGACAACTTGGAAATGTATCAATTTCCATTTAAAAAAATTGTGAGGGTAAATTGAATTTCAATTTAGATTATAAAATGACATTTTTATAAAGAAAACTTTATGAAAGGAAGAAATCATGGATACAAAGAGAAAAAGATCAATGGAGGGAGGAAAAGGGGAAGGAAGATGTAGGTGAGAGAAAGCTCATTCAAAGGAGATGCCACTTTCTGGGGAGAAGGAGGTAATTTATAAGATGAAGTAGCAGCAGCAGTTAACAAAAAGGCCTGAGAGACTGTGACAGCCTGAAACAGGTGTATATTATTCTTAAATGAGAAAAGACTGCCCAAGGTCATTAAGAATTAGAAAAGAAGAAAGAATTAATTTTAACAAGACATAGAAAGACATTTATTTCCCACATTTGAGACAACGTGAAGGAGATAGAACAGAGATAGGAAGCGTGGTGGAGAGAGAGTTGCAAAAGGTCAAATAGAAAATGCTTGGCATTTTTACAGTGTATTAATAATAACAAATATGACCTAGATTCTCAGTGGTGTGATTTTATAATAAGTTACAGGTGAAATATATATTACTTACTCTAGGTGATAAAATAGCAAAGGTTATAATAAAAAGAAATATGAGTAGACCAAAAATGAAGAAATTTATTCTTTTTGTTTGTTTGTTTGTTTGGAATTTTTGTTATTGAGTAGCGGTAATTAGACTCAGCAGCTCATATCCATCTGCAAACAGCCTCTCTGCTATTCCACTAGGATGTGGATCCAAAAATGAAGTAGAAGAGACAGAGTAGACCTGAAATATTCCAGAAGGATAAATCTTTTCCATTCCCTCCTCCAGCCAAAATGTCCATAAATTTGAAAGCATCAGGATTGATTGCCCTTGATCTTCAGCCACTCTCCAACATAAAGATACCGCATTGAATATCAAAGCCTCTCAAAGCGTTGGAGCCACAGTATTCACCTTCCCACCATTTCAATGACTTGTATTTACAAGTGTCTATTATCAAAGGCAAGCATACCCCCAGACAAGCACAGAAAAAAGGCACCCAAGTGGCCAGGTAATTCCCTATCTTTCTTTTTCAGTGTGCTATGCTGACTAACCAAGAGCTTGAGATAACTGTTGTACCTTCTGAAAACACAACTTCTGCATGTAGCTTTATTTATTTTCTACTCTAGTCTAAGCAGACCCACGACAAGCAACCTAACCCACAAGAAGAAACAAACATACTTTCCCTAGTTTTGCTATTTAAATGTTTTCACAAAAATCCAAAAAATTATACATAGATTCTAAACTGTTCACTCTTTCCCTGAGATTTTTGGTTAGCATGAATGTTAGATGTTAATTGTTTAAGTATGATCGGCAAGGCTTACATCTGTTTTTGCTGCTTGAAGAAAGAACAAATGAGCAGGAATGAGATGAAGAGCATCATAAGAGGCCAGTCCTTCAATCCACCCAGTATGTCAGTGTCAGCTAACGGTCAGTAGCAGGGCCTGCTTGTCAATACCCACTCCAAATATATCTCAAGTGTATTAATTGCAGCAAGGACCCATTATGAATTCTTCAGTGTTTTTTTGAATCTCCTTGTACTGTATTTCTAAACTATACCACTTCCTGGAGGTATTAAGTTACATTCATTTACAACTTAGCAGAAAAGTACTATTTTAATTTTTCTTTATATTGTTCCTAAGTCTTTCTTATTTTTTAAGTTCTATGCCCCCAGGTTTCTTTCCAGCTTAAAGATATAGAACCTAAATCTAGTATTTTGGGATTGGACAGCTATAAGCCTATTTAGCTTTTCACATGTATTATTAAGTATATTTTCTTCTATGCCCTTATGTCCTAATCATTATTGTCTGTCTGTCTACAATTATCTCCTCCATCCATCTCTCATTTAACAGAGTAGTTTAATTTAACACAATGGTATTTTATCAGTGTTATTATAATACTCTTAAGCAAAAATTATGAAATCTGCACAATTCCTAATGATGAAGCATTAATTTTGTATATAAAGACAGAATATTGTGTTCTGCCGGGTTTCTACTAAATCTTTTGTGGAACTCTGATATTTTGCAAAAAAAAAATGCTACTGAAAATGACACATTCTATAATTAATTACTTTTGGTGAAATACCAATTAAAAAAACCAACTACATATCTACCTTAGCAATTTTCTGAGTTTGAGGTTATAAAATGTACCAATTTGATCATCATGATTTCTATTATGAAAATCAGTATGTAATGATTTTATGTTAATTATAATGTCTGTAATTTTAAGGAACCAAATGGAAAATAAGAATGTCTCTTTTTCTCTGCACTAGTATTGATTTTCTTTCTCTGAGGTAAATAAGAGACTTTCTTGGAAAGAAATTATATTTTAAAGAAAAAGAGAAAAAGGTTTTCAAAACTGCATGGAAGACATAAATTGATCTAAGAGAGGCATAAGCTCAATAAATATTTTTCTATCATAAAAACATTTCTTTCATAAGAAAAATTCTGTATTCTTAACTGGAAGAGCTATTGTCTCTGCTTTTTATATCAAAAACTCAATCCATTATTTCTATTTCATAACCTTTTTTTCATCTCAGGTAGATGCAGGCTGATTTAACAAGCCATCATTTAAGTGTGTGCATTGTAATCTTTAGGACTCTGATTTTATACATTAAGAATATGAAAAACATATGGGAAAGATTTAAAGTATATTTCCTCTAGAAAAATCACTTTGCATTTGCAAACTCAGCAAGACCTTAATTAAAATCAATAGGTAAATTAAAAATATGTTTAATGCAAACTATTTCTTTTAGTCTAACTTCTAAAACTTCTATTTCACACCCCTCTTTTGTTCAACAACTATTCATTGAAAGCATGTACTGTATAACAGGTACAATATTAGCCAACACTTTGCATTATTGAGCAAGCAAGATATTAATCCAGAAGTAATATAAAACCAAGGGAAAAGTGACCTGCATGCTCCATGAAACTGCATAGCAAAGGGCCTAAGACTGGTGCTCCTCTTCCTGAACTGGCTGACTTAAATCACAAGAGTTTGACTGTGGCTTTAAGAGTTATTCTTTTAGTTACAAGTTTCCTTTCTCACATCTCCACATAGTTTTTCATCTGCAATAAAGCACTTATTTTATTACATCCACATTTGCTTCAAAAAAAGCAGATGTTTTTAATACCATTATTGGATAAATTTTATCTAAATGCAGCCAAAACAAATCCTGCCATTGATCTCTTCTGAACTCTTGGGCAAGGGTCACAGTGCTCTGGGGTTTATCTTCCTGGTATGAGCTCATCGTTCAGAGTGTGTACCTCCTTTAGGGGTGCAGAATACCATATGGTGTGCAGAGGAAGTGCTGAAGGAGCAACATGTAGTGAGTCAGTGTTTCTCAACCTTGTCTGATTTTAGGAGTCACTTGGGGAGACTTAAAAACACAGATTCCTAGGCCTCCCTAAACTACCAAATCACAATCTCCAGGGGACACATCCACAAGTCAGATTTTTTGCAAGCTCCCCATATGATTCTTTTGATCAGACATGTTTGTGAAACACTGTAGTACAAAGAAGACTGACAAATACTTTCTAGGGAAAGCACAGTTTATAAATAAACTTTTAAAGCCGGTTAATGCTGATGGACCTCAGATCTGAAGGATCAGGTAAGGACTTAGTGATCCCAGTAGAATTTTAGCAGCTTAAAACTAAGGTAAAGTCTATATGTCTTTCATGTTTTCTATAAAAAAGGTAAATAACAATCATTATATTTTTGCAAGAACCAGTATAGGAAACCATCTTTTTCCATATGACCACGAAATAGGGAATGGGTATGTGGTTGTGAGAGGAAATCCCCTATGTATTCAAAGAAACAGCAATTAATTTGAGTATGTTGAAATAAAACCTAAAATTCATCTCCTTTGCTCCTGTGGGCTAGATGAAATAAAGTCATGTCTGGCAAATATCGCACTACTTTATTTTAGTAAAACTCAAAAATAATTTATAGCTTTTAGAAACTGACTTTGTAAGATGTGTATGGAGGAAACCCCTTGTCACATAGCCAAGTCCTGCCAGGAAGAACATTTATTGCAATAAATGTACTTACGGTGAATCCCCTCTTAATGAAGGTATTTGGTCCTGTCTGGATGGAAGAATAAAACCGAAGTCCCAGTCCACTCTCTGGATAGAGAAGTCAATAGGTTTGCTAATCTGGGTGTAGTTTGCTTATAAAATATGTATTTCTTAAAATGGAAAATATTACTTTTAATAATTCCTTTTTTAAAAAAGCTAACACTTGTCTAGACACAATACTATCAGTTTAGAATTACATTCCATCATAGTTGGTCATACCCAAATGCATCAGATAAAATTATTCTTTCTCTTGTATATTTTGAAAAATACTCATGATTTTCTAGATGCACTTTATATTTCCCACTGCATGGGATTTTATAAAGTTTAATAACTTTGTGTTTATTTCTACTATGATAGTCTATACTTTTATCCTCTTTAGCTTTCTATTATTTTCCTAAAACTATTAAATCTGCCAGGGTTTTCAATTGAATTCAAGAACTATTTATTGAAGTTGTGTTAAGTGTCACACACTGTGCTAAGGCTGTAGGATACCATGATGAGTAGAATAAATCCTTAAAATATTTTTCTTGATTCTGCTTCAGAGTAAAAAAAAGTATTCTACATTCAGAATTTTGTTTTTATTTTATACACCTGAAAAACCCTGGCATGAGAAGATCTTGGTATTAAAAAGACCAATATATAAAACTCTCACCTTTTACTTAACATTTGTCTAGCCTAGGCTTGAAGAATTTCCCTCAATAGAAACTCCCTTCTTTAGAAAATCCCAACTGTTACAAAATTATTCCTTATCATGACCAAGTTTTTTATCCCTAAATATTCTGACTGTTGGTAATAGTTGCTCATTTCAGGTAGCAGGAAACAACTCCATCATCTGGCTTTGATAACCTTTTTATGTCATAACCTTTATAGCCTAAACATCTCTTTATACCACTTACCATGTTATGGAGATTTTATTTTAACCTGTTCGCAACTTATTGTAATTATTATATTTTACTTCCTTCTATCACTTTCTTTTGTTTTTACTGAATATAATCTTTTCCCTGTATTTATTTTCTAATATTTATTGGAATAATCATATTTCTATTAATCATTTTTTTTACTGCTTTGAAATTCTTATTTTTAAATTTTTGCTCTTTCATTGGTTTTATCTCTAAGATTTTTGAGCTATATGAGAAACTTAGACTACATTACCCGAAAAATCCATGTTTATTCTTATATTTCCATTAGTATTTTTCTTGGACCTTATTTTATTTTAGTATTTATTTATTTAAAAATGAATTTTCCATTTGACATTTCCAAACACATTTATTTTTTAACAAGCAATACACTGTCTTTGGGGATAACAAATGTCAATATTAGGAAATCCAATTATAAAAAAATACTATATCCAGTCTGGGGTAGATATATTTATTTTGGTAATGTACATTAAGTGGCACTAATTACACAGTAACTCTAAGGTAACTAACATGAAACCACAGAACTGTAACTGTGCCACAGCTGCATGGACTTGGGCCTTCCTTGTAGAACCCATTTTCAAAAGACCAGATGCCTGTCCCAGAGCTATGCCAATGAAGCCTGTTAAGGAGTAAAGCACTGAAGTTGTGTCTCACCAGAGTACCTTGCTGTTGACAGATGATAGGCAGGGAACGTTAGTTATAAAGTAGTTGCAGCCTAATTTGCAAAGTTACCAGCTGTTTCTCTTTCAAGACAGAAGCAAGAAGTTAAGAAATTCTTTGAATTTGCCGTGGTGCGTCAGGCAGAAGTGTAGAGGAGGGTTGTTAAGAGTAGTGGTAAAAGGATCCTGGTAGGCCTGACGGATTTGACATCATTAAGAATCAGGGTTGGTTTCTAAATACTGGTAACAAGATGGCATGCCTTAAATTTGTAATCTTAGGTAAACTGTATATAAGTGATAAAGGCCAGTGTTCATCCACTAAGACTAACCAACAGCACTTCAAAATTCACCTCTTAAGCACTGTTTCACAAGACAAGGCACCCAGAGTTTTTCTTCCCACATCTGGCTTGCAGAGTAGCTTTCGCAGCCACTTCAAAAACCTCTCTCACTCCATCTTTGGTCTTTGCTGAACACTTCATGTACCCCAAAGAGCCAATTCCCTTGACCATATCTCTGCCCTCTTCGAGTCTCACCCTCTTCTGCTTCATCCTGGCTAGCTCCCACCTTGTGTGCACATCATTCCGAAGATCCTTCTTGTTCCCAACCAGGCTGGTGGGCACGTTGGGACAGAAATGCTTGACTTCTGGGCTCCATTTCTCTGGGATGTTTTCTAAACTCTCAGGGTTGTCAACGGAGAACACATAACATCAGTGTCCGAGTAAAAGAGGGGCCTCAGGCGATCCTAATCTTCCTGCCTGGCTGTGTCCCACAAAGTCAGCTCTACACTTTCCCATCCACCTCGATATGGGCCACATAGTTCTGAAACCCTGAGGGTGCTCACCCCTCTGGGAACTGGTCCTTGCTGAAGACAATGAGCAAGCATGTCTTGCCACAGACTCTGTCACCGACAATTACCAGCTTCTTCTGGACGGGAACCATTGCTGGAGGACACTGGCCTGGGTGGCTGAAATTGTACGAAGTACCTTGAACTTCTCAGAGGACAGATTCGGGCGACGAATCCGAGTCCAGTCTCTTCGTGCCCAGGACGCCTGTCCGCAAGTCGCAAGCTGGGAAAGCAGGGCTGATAACTGAACTGGAGACCATGGACTCACGAGAGAACTGACGGAGGGCTACGCAGGAAGGGAGCGCGAGCTGGCCAGGGCCGGCGGCCTCCAGCTGATTTGAAAACTCTCACAGGTGGTCATAATTTCTCTTTTTATATTTGGTAGTCCTATTGAAAAACATGTTTATCTGTGTGTTTGTTCTTCTGTATCTTTGTTCAAGTGTGTTTCTTGTATTCTCCTTTTTTTTTTTTTTTTTTTTTGGTTTCAGTTTTACGCTCATTTCTTCATCCTCCCTTAGTAGTTCTTTCAGGGAGGGTCTGTGAGTGGTAAAATATCCATTTTTTAATGTTTAGAAATGAATTTACTTTACCTTTATTTTAAATGCTAGTTTATCTGCGTTTAAGATTTTAGTTGACCTTTAATACTTCAGCATATTAAAGGTATTTTCATTGTCTTCTGGCATTTATTATTGATGTTGAAAAGTATAGCGTTCTAATTGTCTTGCCTACCTAGCCCATCTGACTTTTTTCCTTTGAGACATTTTTCTTCTTTCTTTAGTGTTCTGCAACTTCACAAGTACTTGTGAATTTGTTTCTAGTTACCCTTTCCAGATTTTTACCTTTCATCTTTGATCTTGTTTTTCAATGTTCACCTCTAGAAAATTATCAGAAATTTTCTAATTAAGTATCTCTTTCTGCTGTTTTTTTCTCTTACACTTATACCTTTTTTTAATCTATGATACATTTATCTTGACTCACTTTTCATATTTTCTATAACTTTATATTTATGATGTTTTATTTTGAGTGGTTTTCTAAGAACTCTTTCCCAATTTATTAATTTGCTCATCAGTTTGATATTTATCTACTTCACCTTTTTGTATTGGCTTTAGTTTTATTCATTTTTGGAAGAACATTTACAATATATCTTTAGTATTTATCATATCACCAAAACATTTTAATTACAAAGTTTCACAATACATCTCTAACAACTATTTCACATAATTTAATAAATTTGGTAACATTCAAGAGAGGGACAGACATTGACCTAGATAACATTGAAGGTTTTGTTACACTCTATATATGCTTGTGAAGTATTTGAAATAATTATGAAAGCATATTTATTTGGGGTTAATGGCCAGATGCATTTTCCCTGCCAGTCATTAACCCTCAAGCCATGTCTCACTCCTAGGTCATTACTGTAATTATAAGCAAACATTTAAAAACAGCATAGGTATACTAGTGTGTGTATATGTGTGTATATATATGTGTGTATGTATATATAGATACATATTTGCACATAGGTGGTGATATCATAGTTGGTATGTATAGGAGACTTCTGGGAATTTGTGTTCAATTCATTAATCACAACTATTGTTTGATTAGATTATCTTTCATTTTTAATTCACATTATTATAATTAACTTGTAAGCACAGTTGGAGTGATGTAAGAATATCAGAAGCCACTTTTAATTATGAGCTTTATGTTGTAGTTAAGTAGACTGAAAGTTTACTATTAAATTGAAAACAGATCTTATTAGGAACATTTAATTCTGGCAAAGAAAATGACAATGTGGTATTCATGCTAATCATGTGGAGGTACAGATGTTAAAGAGAAAAGGGCTTGTTCCTTGTAGAGCATTTCGTACCATGTGTCCCAGTAAGAATATCTTCTCTTGGACTTGCTTTAGATATTGTAACAGCTGCTGAGTCTCTGATTGGGTATGAAGCCCTAACTCTGACTCCCACTACGCTAGTTCAAGCAGAATTAAGTCAGCAGAGCCACCACACAAACTCTCCTTTTAAGTTGAGCTACAAGGGTAAGAGCTGAGTGATTATTACATCTAAGATCTATTTTTTCTTCCCACCAAACTAACCCCCGACAACCCACTTTCTACCATTCATTCTGTGCTTCTGTTACCTTCTGTTGGATAATATTTAGCCTTTTTTTTTTTTTTGGCATTGAGCCTAGTGTTTTTCTGTGGATATACTTGTACATATGTTTGTACTCAGAATTTATCTTGTATCTTCTTTAATACTACCAACAATACATTTTAGTTGAATATTTTCTAATTCAAAATAATTACTAAATGTTTGTTGTTTACTCAAATGTCATTCATATTATAAATAGTATGGGTCTTGGTGGACAACCGGACCATGAAAAGCATCAAACATGCAGATATCCTGAAAATAAACCAGGCATTTAGAACTTGACCTGTTCAGCTTTTATTTGTACTTTATCTATTTTTCAGACTCCACAGTCATAAAGTAGCCAGGAAAACCAGGAATTTTGAAGAAAGTCAAGAAAATTACTGAAGGTCAAGAAATTAAGCCTAGTGGACAATTCACCTAGCACAAGAAGCATGGTGGACTATAAAGACATTGGTCACTGAAGTTATGTATACATGCAGAAAAGAGAGACAGAAAGCATATATTAAATAAAAGAGAAAACCAAAATTGTTTTGAAATTACCTCTCTTGCAGAAGATTTGAGGAGCTTTCCCACTTCAATTTTCTGATTCTGTTTTGACACATTTATTTTTTAAATGAATGGCCCATGGGGACCTCCATTTTTGGCAGATTAAGTTACTGGCTTCCAATATAAAACAACCCCAAATCCAGGAATCAATGAAGTCATGCTGTAAATTGTGTTCATGTCCATAGAGAAGCAGAAAAAGTTTACAATAGTGGAGAACACCAGATTTAAAATCAGATGGCCTCAACTGGAATTCTGGCTTTGCCCCTTACTCTCTATAGGATCGTGGGAAAAGCATTCAAATTTTAATTTTTGTCTTATATAACATGGGAATAATATAATTTGTAGGATTATATTTTACAAGTGAATAAGTTAATATTTCTTATAAACTAGGAAGTAAATTTACAGTTACAAATTTTGTATAATGGAAGGACAATATATGGAATAAAATTTTTAGTCTCCTACAAAGATAATAAACACAAAGATCACATTATACAGTCTAACCTTCAGAAGCTTTGGAATCCCTTTCTCTGGAGGTCACCAAACATTATAAATCGCCATCTGTTTGCAATGGTTCAATGCAGAAAATCTAGAAGCAAAAACAAAAACAAGCTAAGTTTTCAGACTCCTTTTCAGCTTTGTATCTTTTATATGTTGAGTAGCATAAAGGTATTTATATTTTTTCTCTTTGAAGATAGTTATCATTAAAGGCTGTGAATTAGCAGGATTTTCTTGGTGGAAATAATTTCTAACATTGCATATTTTTATTTTAAGTTGCTTTCAACATCTAAATTTCACATAAACACAAACACTGGTAGTATTCCCAAAATGCTAAACTCTTTAGATTACTAGATAAAATGCATAATGAATTAAATATATCTTTGCTTCCAAAAACTTAGGATGGACAGACTTAGTCCTTTGTGATTATAAGCCAGAGCTGTGAATTAGCCAAAGGGTTTCCCTGGCCATCATTCTGGATATAGAACTTCAGTGAAATTTCAGTAATGTAACAATGGAAACAAATCTGACCAAGTATCCAACAGAGTAACATTAGAACCCACAACTCCCCAGGTTGCAAACTATAACTCTACATAGCTCCGTTTTCCAGAATACGAAACTTATGCATTTGGTGTTGTGGTAGAGAAACAGACACCCCTACCTTATCCATCATTATTATTTATCAGAATGGATATAAATATGTCCAAATGTCTTAGCTTGAGACAATGTCCCAGTAATCCCAGTTATCTCATAGGCATTATTTTATTATTTGTTTTCCCTTAAAGGTTGCCACATCTCAACTGCCCTGATGCTGCCACTGCACCATTTGTGCTATCATACTGCTGCTTTTATTGACACCTTTTTTTGTGTGTCAATTGCCAAACTGGTGTGGCACCATGAGCCCTGGTTAGACATACACCTTACCTCTCCTTAACAGGATGGCAAAGGTGCTCTATCCAACTGTCTCAGGGCCCCATGCTATGGCTGTGTCTTTCCTGGACTTTGGGTATCTTTCTGTTTGGGACAGCTAATGAAACTCTCTAGTAAAGCTATTGTCTCACACTTTTGCATAACTTTGTGTCCTAGCAAGGTAAACATCTTTGGGAAAACAACTCACAGATTTTAAATTCCTTTTTCATACTTCACCCTCTGAGGGATAATGGTGGGGTTCAGTTGATTTTAGTCTCCAACATGGATTGAGGTACATTGTCAAGACTTAACTCCCTCATCCCAAACCACTCCTGTGTCTCCTTTCTGACAGGGTAATTCTCTTTACATGTGTATCTATTTACCCTAAACATATACAGTTTGGAATTCTACGTTTGTACTATTCCTACTTGTCTGCCACCAACATATAATACCTGATCTACCAGGCTCCCAGTTTCTTCTCAGGAAAATTTCTGCACAACCCCTCAGGGAGGAATGTACTTAATGAATTATGAATTATTATTTTCTGTACTAGTTTATAAATCACTTAAAAATAATGCAAATAAACATTATATAATTTCATTAATCAATTTAAGTTGATAGATATTAATTTAATACTTACAAAGTGCCTGTTACTAATATAGAAATATAAAACTAAAAGTGGACCTTTTTCATAATATTATTTTATAAAATAAATGAGCCTATCGTCCTGAATAAAATTTCCAGTTAATGGGATGATAGTTCACAGTGGATGCTCCTTCCCATCCTTACCCCACAGCACATCAATCTAGCAGGAGGCATGCTATGACTGATATTTCCAGGTCTCAGCTGACACTGCCAGTGGTTAGAAGCCCCTTATCTGGCATTTGCAATCACAATGTGATAAAGTCTTGGAGTTTCACCAAATCTTTTACCAAAATTTTGAACAGAGGATTAATTGACTAAATCCCTTCTATGCGTTTTTCCTGCCCCAGGATGGTAACAAGTAGTGAAATGGGGTAAGAGGCAGAAAAAAGTTAAGTGTCTGAGTAATCCACTGTTGGACAATCAGTCTCCATATTGTATCAGATGAGGATGTGGTAATGCACTTTTATTGATTTCCCAATTCTGTAGCTCCAATTATTGAAAGAATAGCTTCTATTGTTGGATTTGACAATCCTCCTTCTCTCTTTTCTTCCCAAAATATTCATGCAATTTCAAAATGGGAAAGTCTTGAGTAACATTCACTTCAGAATAGAAGACTCATTTAGTTTTCGTTTTTGTTTTCTGATTGTTTTAACAGGTAACAATTATCTCCCGTGCCTATTCTACATTATTTCTTTAACATTTCTCATTACAGTCTAAAATATTTGGCCTTGTCCTAATAGTGATAGCTATACCAAATAGTCTCATTCATTTAGGATTATAACACTATAAATAAAGTGTATGGCTTTCTTTTTCTGACTAGAATAAATATTTATTAATCAAATTAGTATGTAACAGTTGAGAATTTTGGAAATTAGATGCTGAAAAATATTTTTTAGCAGTATGCCCTTTCTATCCTCATGGTCTCTGGTATAGGAAATCATGACTGTTTCAATATGTTTGCTTCTGATACCATGTTTCAATGACATTTCCAATGAACAAAGGAATCACTGTGCTAGGAAAATTGGTTACATTATTTAAGGAATGAGACAATTATTGACTTTTCCACAAAAGTATAAAATTAAGTTTCTGTTAACAATTTATGAACAAGTACACACACACACACACACACACACACACACACACACACACAAAGCCACCAAAGTTTTTACTCAAACACAGAACAAATTAATCCAGATCTTTGAGAGCAAGGAGCTCATGGTGAACTTCATTACAAAAGTCACATTATTCTGACATAAAATAGAACCTGACATTTGGCCTAATTATACTTTTCAAGTCTTTAATATTCTGCTTATCATTATGGATATTTAAATAAAGAAAACTCTTCTGATACCTTTTGCCCTTTTTCTGTTTCATAGTCTTCTTTGAATTAAAAAGGAAATTAAGGTTTTCTCAACTAGAAGTTTCAATAGATAAATGAATAATATATTTAAAAATAATGCTAAAACTTCCCCCTAATAATTTAAAATAAGGTTGTATTTTATATTAAGTAAATCATCTATTGCTTTCTCAAATATCTTCTGAAAAGAATAGAGTCAGAAATGCTTTATTATGATTCTAGGCAACTTTGAACTTTGACTTATTCAATCTGAGTCATCTCTAAAACTTTTAGGGTTTTTTTCATCATTTTGCTATATATCCTTTAGTATTACTTTAATGAATTGGCACAAATCAAAGAGTAGAGTGCCTTCCAGTGATTCATCTCACTGGACTTAGTTAAGTCCATAGGGACATGCTACATTTCAGACTGTCAGTTTGATTTATATAGAAGAACATAGAGTCATTTACTTAAGTGTTACATTAACTAGACAGTCAAACCAGATCAATGAGTTTGGCATTGTAGAATTCTACAATACTCCTAAATTTGAAAAAAAGATTTGAATTATTGAAATGAAATTTATTTTTCTTTCTCTTTTTCAGATTTCATTTCTTTAATTTTAAATTCAGGGGTACGTGTTGAGGTTTGTTACATAGTTTTGCGGGGATTTGTTGTACAGATTATTTCATCACCCAGGTATTAAACCTAGTACCCATTAGTTATGTTTATATTTCCCACCTCATGCTTTTATTATGTACCAGGGCAATATTCTATAACATTTGTAATCTTAATACATTTCTATACAAACATTAATAATTCATATATACAAAGATTAATTAATGAGACTGCTTATGTAATTGAATCACAGCACATTTTCCTTAAACAAGATGAAATTATTAAGGTGAATAGAAAGTTGTTAAATATTGATGGAATCAACTAAAGTAAGAAAAAGGAGTGATTTTACTTCAGGGTATAAACTAAATATAATTAGATATATTTGCCTACATTCTCTATAATTGAGCATTTATTAGTTTTAATATGTAGACACAATAGATTAGGTTTGATATATGCTTTGCTTCATTCTACTTTAAGGTAAAAATTTAATTCTTGCAATGGGGAGCTCACCTATTATTATGGGTTAACTATTTAGTTCTCTATTGCATGTGCCCAAACCAATCATTAATTATTGGTTATATTTTTATGATTTATAACTTAACCTTTCTTATAAAAATTGGACCTTAAACTCATCATACGCAAGGTCAAAATAGTACCCTCTCCTACATCAGAAGCGATTTCTCCTACTTTCATTGTTTGTTTCATATACCCTTGTGCTCTCACTGTCTAAGTCCTGAAAGCTGAAAATCATTGGCCTTCTCTCCCTCAGAACATTTAAATGTTTCTAGGATTTACCAAATTCATCTCTAATGCATCTTTCCAAGCATTTCCTTCACCAAGTACTCTCTATTTTAATTGTTTCTTCTTCTTTGTTTTAGTTTATCTTATTTTTGACTACATAATTATTTCTCCAAATTAGTATCCACAACATTGGTTTCTCCTTGCTTAATCAATTGTATATTAAGCTGTCATATTTCTGGATCATAATTCTGATATATAAATACTCAATTCAATTGGGCTTTTCTTAACAGTTCTAAATTTACATAGCTTAATATCTCTTATCCAAAACATAGTACTTGCACATAGTAGACTAATCAATAAATGTACCTAAAATTAATTAATGGTGGATTAAATATTTGCCCATGGTAATAAATTATACCCTAGTATAGAAATAATAGTAAAGATAAAATTATACAAATGCCAATATTATATAACTCCCTGATGCCTTATTCTTTTGGTTTTTGTTTTCTGTTACATGAGTCCACATCAAAAATTGATCATTCAATTATTAATGTCCTTCAAATCTCAGATTAAATATTACCTTCTCCTTGATGGCTTCTCTGATTGCTGCAGGCAAAGCCACACTTTGCACTCCTGTGCCTTTTTTACCAGGCATGTTATCACAGTCCTCCTTGAATAATTAATTATATAAGCTAAGTGTCCTACTTCCACTAGTTCTATATATAGTCCTGACCACAATAATTCCTGGATTCTGCTTCTGAACATTCATCCCACTATCACATAAGTGAGATCATTCCTGCCAAACCACTCCTCCTCCATATGTATTTCTAGATATCCCCAAGGTGTGTGTCTCAGACCTTCTGAATCTAGTTCATTTCTATTCCCAGACAATAGTCACCATGATCTTCCTTTTCTGCTTCAGCTTACACATGTTACACTTGAAGAATCCCCACAGTGTATGATCATTTTAAGAATGACACTGCTTCTGCTCAGCAAAAGAAACTATCACCCGGGTAAACAGGCAACCTACAGAATGGGAGAAAATTTTTGCAATCTATCCATCTTACAAAGGGCTAATATCCAGAATCTACAAGGAACTTACAAATTTACAAGAAAAAAATCAAATAATCTAATCAAAAAGTGGGTGAAGAATATGAACAGACACTTCTCTAAAGAATATATTTATGTGGTAAACAAACATATGAAAAAAAGCTCATCATCACTGGTCATTAGAGAAATGGAAATCAAAACCACAGTGAGATACCATCTCATGCCAGTTAGAATGGCTATCATTAAAAAGTCTGGAAACAACAGATCCTGGTGAGGATGTGGAGAACTAGAAATGCTTTTACACTGTTGGTGGGAGTGTAAATTAGTTCAACCATTGTGGAAGACAGTGTGGCGATTCCTCACTGCCATTTGACCCAGCAATCTCATTACTAGTTATATACCCAATGGATTATAAATCATTCTACTATAAAAACAAAAGCACACGTATTTTTATTGAAGCACTATTCACCATAGAAAAGACTCGGAACCAACCAAAATGCCCATCAATGATAGATTGGATAAAGAAAATGTGGCACATACACACCATGGACTACTATGCAGCCATAAAAATGGATGAGTTCATGTCCTTTGCAGGGACGTGGATGAAGTTGGAAACCATCATCTTCAGCAAACTAACACAGGAACAGAAAACCAAACTCCACGTGTTCTCACTCATAAGTGGGAGTTGAACAATGAGAACACATGGACACAGGGAGGGGAAAATCACACACCAGTGCCTGTTTGGGGTTGGGGGAAAGGCGGTAGAGAGCATTAGGATAAATACCTAATGCATGCAGGGCTTAAAACCTAGATGATGGGTTGATAGGTGCAGCAAACCACCATGGCACATGTATACCTATGTAACAAAGTTGCACTTTCAGCACATGTACCCAGAACATAAAGTAAAATAAAACAAAAGACAAGGAGAAAAAAAAAAAAGAATGACACTGTAGCTCCTCAAGGCTTTTAAGAGTTCTCGATCCTCAGAGATTAAGCGAGTGAAGGATCTGGAACAACAATGGCAAGAGTGATCTAGCCCTAATTGAGTCTTGCTTGCATCTTAGCTCTACTAATGCATTTCTGCCCAAGTGAAAAGCCTCTTGTGCAAATCACACATTTATCTTCCAGCTCTAACTCACCACACCAACAGAACACTTACACTCATGGAAGTGAGATCAGCTCATCTTTTCTAGACCAGATTATTTTCCAGGGCAAATATCCTGAGGTCTGCAACCTGCCAGGGTACATGCTATCTTCCAGAGAAACCCAGAGCTGCTTAAAGCCTGATATGTGGCCCATAGAAACTTGGTTGCTGTTTATTTTCTCTCTAGAAGATGAGGCCCTCATCTATACCTTCCTCAATGTCAGTTTCCTTCAGGATATTTTTCATATTTGCTTCACCACTCAGTTGTAAGTAGAGAGTGTAATTAATTAGTCTGCCTTCCATTTCTTCTTATCTCAATCAATTCTTTCACAAAAGGCTGTGTGAGAGTGGATGACTAATATTTGTAATAGCAGTTTGACTTTATAATTTCTTCATTTCACACTCTTTCTGCATCATTCATTCTGCCCAGCCTTAGACCCTCCCATTGTCTTCATAATTTTACCAATAGGTTTTGTGTCTCGCATTATTCCCCAGTAGACAACATCTTCACCATGGATAGCCTTATCGTTACTCAATACTTAAAAGGTAAACATCTCTTTCTTCTCTCCTGACTCCTCAGAGCTTTTGTGAATGCTTTCTCTTGCCAGAAACACCCTTCCTCCTTCCTCTACTCAACTCAGAACCTGTTAATCCTTGGTCTTCATCAAGTCCCATCTTCTCTCTGTTCCCTCTATAAAAGTTTCTAGGTGATTTTAATTGCTTACCAATATGACTGTAACTTTATTCAATATTAAAAAGAAAGAGCAACTCTGTGGCAAGGTTCATGTTTTATGCTTCTTTCATATTGATTGTGACTTACTAAGTGATGGTAAGTACTCAATCACCTGAATTTACTCAGTGTTTTATTAACTGACACATAAGGTAGTCTGATCCCTGATCCTGTTATTAAAAAAAAACAAAAAACAAAAAAACAAAAAAACAGAACTCTGTTTCCAAATAAGTTCACACTCTGAGGTACTAAAGGTAGGGACTTTAACATATCTCTTTTGAGGGACACAATTCAATTTAGGTCACTTATAAAGCAGTGGAACAGTTTTTCCAATGGAATGTATAAAACTCTAAAGTTAATACCAATAAAAGAGCTCTAAGATATTAAGCTCTTTCTGCAGTAGATATAAAGGCTGTCACCCTGCAAATGGGCTACTGTGATGGAAACAGGATTTTTTCGGGGATGAACAAGTTCACATTTTATAGAAACTTTCTGAGACATAGGAAATTTGTTCTATACTTTACTCGTCCCTTTGCTTTAGAAAGAATACACGTACAGTAAATGATTATTTAAATAATATGTCTTCTGTTGAATATTGACTCTCCTTCTCATATGTCTTTCAGGGCTTGAGATGGAATCATATTGAAACTGTGAAGCCTTCTGCCAGAAATTACTTCATGTAAAGTGTAGGAGACACCACACAAGAGGTTACTATGAGGAGACAGGCTCAAATGATAAGATCCTCATACTAAGAATAAATGAATAATGTCTATGCTGCTTTCATTACTTTTGTTCCCTGTGACAAAGATAAAGTTAATTATTTGGAGATAGCAAAGAAGTCTGTTTATTGAAAGTGGCATGCTAGATGCAGTTCTGGATTGCAGTATATTGTAATATTAAAGATCAAGAAACTTTTAATAGGAATCAAATACAATTTTTAATTGAGCCCATTTATTGCACACATGAGCTGTATTGAAAATTCTCCCAAATCAAAAAAGTCAGTAATCATAATTGCAATTAAAAGGTGAATCTAATAAGCTGAATCTTTTTTGCTTAGATTCTCTTTAAATCAAACAATTCTAAATTACTTTTACTAAAAGCTCAAAATTGATTTAATGTTAACTATATCCTTTATTCATAAATTTGTCCTCTTTCTTTTTGAGCTCTAGTTGATTTCACATACTCCCTCTTCACTAAAAAGAGTTTATTGATACACTGTGTCTACATGATGCCATGACATCTGAATGAAAGATTTGATATTTGCTATCCAGATGCTCTGCCTTCTTCACTCCATCTGGATATTTGGCCTTGTATTTACAAACCATCTGGGTTTGTTACGATACTTTCCACTTTTCAACCAGATGTTTTGGCATTGTGTGGACAAAGCATGTGGCATTATCTATAAAATGTAATTATATAAAAATAAATAACACTATGTAAGCAATTAAAGGAAAAACATTTTCCCATCTAAAAATCTCAACAATATTTTTCTCAGTAATATCATCATAGCAGGACATATTTTACTTGCTATATTTTAACATGTTAAATTTCATATGTGAACAAAAAAGGAAAATTATATAAATGATATATGATTTGCATACTATGTATACAAATATGTATAAAATGATTTATCAAAGGAAATTTCTAATATTTTAATAATTTGTAATAGAAAATATATGTGATTTAAGATATTTTTAATTTTTAGTAATAATTAGCTTACTAACTGTAATTATGATAACCTATGAAAATCTGAGTTTAGAAGTAATATTTTCAAAATCTTTTAAATTAAACTCATAATAAGAAAAGTTATCTTAAGTCATATTTTCAACAAAAATCTGTTTTAAAATCATTCAAATACCAATATATATTTTTAATAATCATCTGATCAGATCTTCAATACAGATATTTATCTTCATGATTTTAGTACACATGTACCTGTACATCTAGTATCATTGTTCTGGGAAAAAGATAAATAAACAAGAAAGATACTACTCCAGGTGACTATGGGAACTAATGGCTTTAATTAAATTTGCTTCAAAAGTCTTTATATTGTTTAATATATGGAGATTATATACTATATAATAAGTCAACATTCCCAAAAAAAGGAGAAGACTAAAGGCAGCTGATCAAAATGTAATAAATATTCCCCAGAAGGTCCTGTGGCCATTTTTAAATTCTGTGTAAGTAAAATGAGAGCGTGTAATCTGAGTTTATGGTAGATTTTGACCAAAACTTCTCAAATATGTTGTATGAGAATCTCACTCAACTGGCTCAGTTTATCTCAGTTGTAATGGGCTTAGCTCTGGGCCCAAAATTTAGGTCAGGGATGATGAGAAACTGTAAGAGAGACATTGTTCAAGATAGGAATAGACTAGAAACACTGACACATAAAATATTTCTGGCAGAATATATTTACCTTAAAAATGACAAGATTTGGGGGTCAAAAGGAGAAGAGGAGAAATGAGAAAAGTTCTTCAAATATTTTAGGGTTATAAGAATGTACAGGAATTACGAGTATTTATGTTTCTAAGGGCAAAATTAGAATGATAATCCAAATAAAGTTTTGCTTCAATTCAATGGAAGTGTCACTTTCCTTGTGGAAGTGACTTTCCTATCACTAGAGAATTCATGTGGAGAATTCAAGTATAAGTTAGGAACTTGATTAGATGGCTACTAGGTTCTCGTCAACAAATGTTTAATGTCTCAGTGTCCAGAACACTGCTTGACACATAATAGATGGTTGACACATATGTAATAAGTAACTACATGAATTCTAAAATTATATTTCAGGTATCACCTCTCCTAATTAAGACAAGCAGATTTATCATGTTCATTGTACAGCCATCTGCACCCTCCAGGCCACTTCATTTCATTGAACATAATGTGAAACATACCTTCTGGACTGTACAAGCAGTAGGCCTTGTGAGAACCTAATTATCTAAAAATGTCCAGGTGGTAAGATTTTATGTGGTGGTAAAACCTTGAAGTTAGTGTGTAAGCCAAAAGTAAGTAGATTCACAACTAGCTAAGAAAATCTGCCAGATTAAAGACCAAAGTATTGTGTCTTAAAACCTCCAACAAAGAGAGTTTTCCCCTGGCACCTAAACAATTTGTTCAGTTGAGTTAAGAGATGAAGTAGCTGACTTTCATATAGTGGATATTCTGAAATCAAGATACACATATTTTCAACTTTACATATTACTCAGTTCGGCAAAATGTTCACAGTCTAGGAAGGCCATGAAAATAGAGACTGGCAAGACATAGTTAAGCACCATGCATCCTACCATACCTTAAACATTCAGAACAGATTCGCTTTGAGTGGGAATGACTGCATTTTATAAATGTGAATTGTGGTTTCTCTATCTCCTGAGCATATATAGTTGATTTTGTGTAAGTTAAGTATATAAAACTTGGCTCTATTTGATCAGCTTTCAAAAATGCAGTCACCTCAAAGCTACTTTCAACAACTATGCATATTTCTCCAGTCCCAAGCTTCAATAACTCCACACTCCCATAGTCATATTCCTTCCCTAGAGTCAACAGGATATCAAAATATAAATAGAGTGGTCTGATTTGAAAAAGTTTTATAGACCTTATTGAAAATCAATGCATACCAGCCTCAATGACAAAATTTTTCCATGTCTCAATCATAACAATTAACTTTTTCAATAGATATTTCCAAAACTCTCCTTCTATTGAAACATTACCTATGATTTCTTCAACTTTACACAATCCTTTCTCATAATTATAAGAACTCATATCCCATAATAAATAGTAAGGCTATTATAGAAGGAGGTGCATAGGGTGAGCTTTCCCTATTTATCCATGAGGTCTCATCCAGAGTGCTTCCTTTTATTTTTTTGATGTGCTAAAATATTTGGCACTAGCAATCATCCCTTAAAAGGTCACCATCTGGAAGAGCATCCTCCCTACATTTTGTCCTGGGATATAATCCTAAAAGCAATGTGAGTCCTTCCTACACACAACATCAAAACGTCAAAGGAATGGCAAGCAGTAAACTTATATAGATTTTACATTGCATAAAGGAGGTAAAGATTTCAGTCGTAAGTAACTATTTTCCATTTGAAAGAGAGGAGTACAAAATATTCTAAGATAAAAGCAAATATACTGGGCAGTACTACAAATAAGAAAAGGCTCTATCCAGGCGGGCAAATTGCCCTATACAGAGAGAAGAAATGCAATTGATTCACTGAGGCAGAAGTGAGATTTTCATGGCGTAGCTTTGCTCTTCAAACAGGAAGGCAGATAGTAAAATACCCTAGTCTCTTTTGAGTACTTATTAAGCTTGAACATTCATTTATTTATTCATCTAATATTTATGAAATCCCTGCTACATCCCAGGTACTGTGTAAGCACTGAAAACTCAGCAGCAAATAAGATAGACTTGGTCCTAATTTACAATGGGCTAGAATGGTTCTAAGACCTGATGGACTGCACGCATTGGACCAGCTAGCGGCACACCCAGGAGACAGAGTCTACATTTTGCTTAGGCACCAGGACTTAATTTATAAGACATTACTGCTTTTGCTTTTGGACAAACACTTTGTCTTGCTCTAGAGAAATCCCAAGAAAAGTGTGGATAATGAAAGTGAGCATCCCAAGAATAGGCTCAGGTTGACATGCAAATACGGTTACTGGTGATGGATCTAATACAGATTCTGCCTGAGTTTATTAGATACAGTGCTGTTGTTTAGCATTTTCTCAATTAAAGCATACACACTCAGTTTATATACAATTTTCAAAATAACTATTCCCACCACTCATGAGGAGAAAATTATCAAATATTTTTATCACTGTGTATTAAATTTTATCAATTTTAACTGAAACTTATTGTGCTTTTTTGATATAGGAGTTAAAATTTATGCTAACAAGTTTGCTACATGAGGTAAGACATGGTGGCCTTAATGGAGGCAGAGGTGATGATGTTAGCAGAACCAATGGGACAAATGCAAATTGCTTTTCCTGAGGCCATCCAAATTATTGCTTGATTTGTACAGAATTCTTCTTTCATGCTATATGTTCTAGCTTTAAACTGAGTTTCCTGTTAATTCAAACTAGGGGGAGATTTAGATTGTACAGATATCATAGAAGCTTATAGCTTAACTGGAAGCTAAGCATTTGGATATTGTATTTTGAGAGAAGTGGTGCCCTTCTGATGTGGGAAACTAAGATAGCATGTTCAACACTAAAGCAATGATGGGAAAAGTAGAAAGTATGCATCTCCACAATAACACTAGTCCACAGCTGGGAAGAAATAAATATTACCAGAATTATAGTGACTTTCTGAAAAATGTAACATTATCACAATACTGAAGGCTTAAGAAGAAAAGAATAATGTTTATAGAGAGCTCTTCTACACTGCTGCAAGGATTGTTGAAACTTTTTGTTTGTTTGTTTTCCAAACAGACAGTTTTCTGGGAGAGGAAATAATAAAATTATTGGCTTCAAAATAAAGGGTAACTGCCACAAGAAATTTGCGCCCCCATTCTGGTTTCCCTTCCCTTGACACTTTTTTTAGATACTTTTGAAACGCCTAAAATGGTGTCTGATCTGTGCAATCCTTTTCAGTTTTTCATTTAATATTTTTTTTTAAATATAATATATGTCTACACAATGTCAGGCACACAGGTTTTAAGCAAACAATAAAGCTGAGCCCTGTGCAGTGATTGTCCTAAACCTACTTGTGGATTGAATGCTGTTTGGGTCTCGTACTGCTTTCTGTAACTGGGTGATATTAATAGTCACCTAACAGTGTTGCTTTTTAAATTATTTCCTCCCATTTTTCAAGTTCTAAGGTAATAGTGAGTGCTTGTGTAATTATCTTATGCTACTGTAGCAATTCTGTGAGAGATGATTTTGATTTTCAACGTCTATTTCATTTAATTTTAAGTTATGCTTTTCCCTTAAAGAGGAACATAAGTATATGGAAGATGAAAATAAAGAGAAGGAAGGAACTAAATAAAAAAGAGCTTTTCTTCAGTGTCATATTTAAAGCAGTTTATTTTAAATTTAAGTACAAATTAATGTTTTCATCTGTTAAATGGGGGTAATAATACTTATCACAGATACCTACCATAAAAATAGGTATGAGGGAACATTATGGTAATATATATGGGGGTACTTGGAAAGCCATAAAACATTATAGAAAACTATCGAATTACTCTTCCTCATTTGAAATGCCATAGGAACACTCAAATGCATGTCAAAAGGTGACAGGAATCACCAGGCTCTTTTAACCTCTTTTCTTTTAATTCTGACTCTTCCTGCTTTGCCTGTCTGCCATTCCTACCCTGTAATTCTCTACATAGTAATTCCATCTTCAACCCTTAGATCTCAGTTGAGGTGTCCTTTACCCTCAGAAGCCCCTCTCCAACCGCTTGACTTTGATACAGGAAGCACATTGTCGTGCATTCCAAGGCTCCTTAGGCCAGCGCTGTCAGAGTATGTGATGGTGATTTCATTACCACTTACTGTTCCTGGTCTCCAGCTAGAATAAAGCCGAATCTCATGTCTAGTTCATCGTTACCCTCCTGGTGCTTTGTACATGCTCACAATTGGTACTCAGTACTTGTGTTCTTATAATTTCCAAAAAGCCTTTATTTAGTAGTTATGAAAAAGTTTACTTCTGAATTTGCATTAAAAGGAGTTTATAGGGTAGGTGGGAATAAAAATAGTGGAGGCTCTCTTACATTTAAAGAGCTTCTCATTTGAAGAGACCATCATTCTCCTCCATATCCTCCTCCTCTTCCTCCTTCTTGTCATTATCATCATTGATAACAAGCACATTTACTAAGCGCTGAATGTAACATTTGGGAAAAATACCTAAGTTCAATACATTTCACATTTTCATGTTTGCTACAGAGGAATCTATCCAAAACAAAATAAGGTTTTTGGTTAATCCTGAACTATTTACTGTCTCCTGAAAGTCCTTGCAAATGCTCAGTAAAAAAACAAAACTCATGTAAATTATTGAGGAAAAATTATAATACACTATTTTATATGCTGTATGCATATTTTATTCTACATTGTGTTACTTTAAAGCCATCTCATAGAAATAGAAACAGCTTTATTTTGTAGCTTATTAACCTATATAACATGTGGTTTATTAATTTTATAATTACACTTACTCTGTGATTATTTGGAACATAAGTTCTTTATATGGAAAACAAACTACTCAAAATTGCATTGGTTGTCCCTAAGTAAAGATGAGATTTACTTCAAATGTATGCATCTTTCCTTGGAAGGCACAGTGTCAGGAAATAAGCCCCGTAATTGTTGGTTTCTTTTCTTGAATCATTTTTGTCCTTCTAGCTGAGTAATTAAAGGCAATTAGTAGTAATTTAAAGGATAGTCTAAAAATGAAGTGTGCTAGGATTGGGTTTTTTTTTTTTTATTGTTTTTGAGATGGGATCTGCCTCTATTGCCCAGGCTGGAGTGCAGTGGCACGATTACGGCTCACTGCAACCTCTGCCTTCCAGGCTCTAGTAATCTTCCCATTTCAGCTTCCTGAATAGCTTGGACTACAGGTGTGCATCACCACACCCAGATACACACACACAGGCACATACACACACACACACACACACACATATATATGTGTATATTATCTATTATATATATATACATATATATTTTATATATATATACACGTATATATATGATTTTTTGTAGAGGCAAGGCTGTTGCTAAGGCTGGTCTTAAATGACTTGGCTCAAGCAATCCTCCCAGCTTGGGCTCCCAAAGTGCTGGGATTACAGCTGTGTGCCACTGTGCTCAACCACATTAGATTTTATAGGGGATTTTATGCCATGTGTAGTGGGTTGAATAGTATTTCCCCAAATCATGTCCACCAGAGCCTCAGAATGTGACTTTACTTGGAAATAAGAGTTTTGCAGAAGTAAATAGTTAAGATGAAATCCTACTGCATTTGAGTAAGTCCTAACCAGAAAGAAAATGGTCAAAGGAGAAGCAGGCAGAGATAGGAGTTGTGTTGTCACAGACCAGGGAATGCCTGGGGCCACCAGAAGCTGAAAGAGGCAGGGAAGATTCCTCTGTAGACCCTTCCAAGGGATCATGACCTTGTCAGCATTTTAATTTCAGACTCCTAGGCTCTAGAACTATGAGAGAGTAGATTTATTTTAAGCCACTCAATTTGTGGTACTTTGTTATGGCAGCCCCCAGAAAACAAAATATACCATGCTAAAGAGTTGTATAGACATTAGCTATTGTCTGAAACAGTTATGAATATTTTTGGCTGAGCAAAAAACAAGAACTTTCAAAGTTTATTTAGAGAAAGTCTTAATCACGTGATCATCAAATGGATGAAGCGATGACCTAGAAGCTAAACAGTGACAAGCATTAGAGAAGGCCAAATCAACTCTGTTGATTTTTTTAGTGTGTGATTCTACAGAATTTTATTACTTTGGTCACAGATGATGTATGAAACCAGAGCACTTTAAAGTGTATCATACACAGTTCTTTTAATCATGGAGAACTTGTATCATGCACAGTTCTTTTAATCATGGAGGTTGCAGTGAGTCATGCCACTGCACTCCAGCCTGGGCAACAGAGGGAAACCCCATCTCAAAAACAATACAAAATAAAATAAAAGGCTATATAGGGGAAAGATTCACAATTCAGAAAGTGAAGTTCATCTAAGGACTAAATAGAAACTCATTGAACTAATGGGAACAAAGTATACCAATCACAGAACACAGAATAACTTTGTTGATTTTTTAGCGTGTGATTTTATAGGATTTTATGACTTTGGTCACACATGCAGTGTGAAACTAGGGCACTTTAAAGTCACTATATCACACACAGTTCTTTCAGTCATTCTTTATTTTGTCCACTTTTATTACAAATAATACTTTGAATGATTTATTTTCTAAGAGTTATTATTTTCCCTTTCTATGGTTATGTTGATATGAACACTTTGTGTGTTGATTAGAAATGAACCCATCGGGCCTTCTCTTCTAGGGCATCTTGCAGGAGCATCAGTTGATCTAGTATTTCTTCTTTCTCTAACCCTGACCCCCAAAACTCTGGCACATTGTTTGGTGGTTCACAGAATGACTCCAAATACATTTTTGATTTCACTTGTGTGAATGAGAATAAAACCAAGGGAGTCCACAGTGTGTTGATTCATGGTTACCTTGCTACAAGAAGAGCCAATAACAGATCCAACATGGACAATGTTTATTTTTGACTTTTCTCCAATGACTAACTCATTTGTCTTATTATGTATCAGGTGCTCAGTAAAGAATAAAGAGACATTATAAAAGTGACCAGGCTGACTTTTATAAAGACAGATAAGTGATCTAGGTACTAATCATAGAGTTTTTACAATGATTACATATAGAGGAAGGGGTTTGAGTGACTTGTCAACATAATATCCTCACTGTGTGTCTTTGCCTATTGACTGCCAGTTACAGGTTTGGAATTAGGGCTGAGCTTTGCAATGATCTGCTATGCAGCTATTTCCAACAACTAACAGAATGACAGAAGTTAGAAAAGGGAAAATATGGGTCCATAGTTAAAAAAAAAGAATATCATGAAAGGGGTTGTGCACTACAGAGGTATAGCAGAACTCAGTAGCCCCACACCTATCAGTTACTTCATAGATTAATTCAAAGGTTCTGTTTAGGCCCTTGACTAAGGCATTAAGTTTGGTAATCTGATTTTATGCTGATCAATGAAAGATAGGAAACCTAGCAATTTCATATCCACAAAGAAAATTCCTCCTAAATAAAAAAGGTGAATTAAATAGAATAAACCAAAATTATTTGGCATGGGCAAGCATCACCTACTTTTGTTAATCTATCAATCAATCTATTTTGGGGGCTTCCTATAAAGCATATAATACAGTAAACATGGGGATGCAAAGCCTCTGGGACTTGTTAAAGGAGTTGTGATGTGTGACAGAATTGTGAACAACAAATTATAGCAGTGTGATCATTCATTCATGCATTCATGCATGTATTCCACAAATGCTCATTAACACCTTCTGTGGGTCAGGCATTTGTACTAGGTTTTGAGAATACAGGGCTAAAAAATGTATGGTCCATGCCCTCATGGAATTTATAGATATTAAACAAATAATTGCAAGTATTCGATACCACTAAAAGGAAATGCTGCATGCTGTAGAAATATTTAACATGTGAACCAACCTCATCATGGTGCCTGGGTGAATTTACCTGGGAAAAGGGCTGCCTATATTGAGACAGAATGAATAGGAGTAAAAATTCTGAGAGAGTATTCCACATACAAAAAAAATCATGTAAAAGACCTGAGATAAAAGAGTACAAACTCATAGAACTGAAAGATATTCCATTTGACTTAAATATATTTTTAAAAGGAGAAGTTTGAGAAAGGAAGCTAAATAGGTGAGCAGGTGTCTAACCACACAAAATCTTGAGAACTTGTTAAGAATATAGGTCTTAATCCTTAAATCCTTAATCCTTAAAACCTTAATCTGTATAAGCAGTGGGAAGCCATTGAACCAATGAGGAGTAAAATGACCAGATGTGCACTTTTAAAATATCCCTCAAGGTACAGTGTAGAGTTTGAGTCATAGGGGGCCTAGAGAATCCAGGCAAACAGTAATGAAGGTATTGCAGTGCCCAGGAGAGAGATGATGGCTTGGGCAAAAGTAGTGGGAATGAAAGTAGCAGCAGCAGGTGGTTTCAAGAGACAAGTAAGAATTAGAGTTTAGAAGACTGGTGACCCATTATATGTGGCAGATGAAACATAGGGAATAGTTCTCAAATATTTGGCATGAACAAGGGGTACCGTTTTACCACTTACTAAAAATGGCATATCGAAGGAGAGGAGCATACGGCATGTTAGAGTGCCTGTAAAACATCAGAGTCATGATCTGAACAAGCTCCTCTAGGCCATTTAATGCAGCAGTGATCTAAACTGCCTGTAGGGACAGAAGTAAATTCTATTTTCTGCTTTATGTGGAAGCAGAGCCCTTTATTGTTTAGCTTCTATCCCATTCTTCTCATGTGAAAGCATCTTTCTTTTATTTAGAAAATGTTGCCCCTTCACTCCAAAAGATACTATATTTTTACAAACCTCACTTCTCCGGTCTAATAAAAAAAATTTGCTGGGATTTTTGTGTGTAGAATGAGGAAGTATATAAGTCAAGCTCAGGTAGAGGTGGTCATTTAAGTGTGAACCGGCAACAGTTGGTTGCCATTTCCCTTGTGCTGGAAGGAAGAAGAGAGTTGCTGTAACAGAGAGGAAGAAAGATGGGTAAATTACTGCTCTCGGTACAGAGTAGTAATTTACCCAGGCACTCACAAAACTTAAAGGAGTTAATGAGAGTTATATACAGATTAGTTACAAAGAAAATTTAAACAAAGAAATTGCTGATGCTCTTAAATGAAAGATATGCTAAGATATCTATACTATGTTTCAAAAAAACCAAAAAACAAAACTGAAGCTGCTGATGACATAATAATGCTACACTGATAGGCACTAAGTGTTGTATGCTTTCTGCTTCTTTATGTGTACACCAAGAAAATGGGAATCTCCTGTTCCTGTTCTTTGCCAGTCAATGGAATTTTTCTTGCCCCCCAAAGCATTATTTCTTATAGATCCTGATTTTGTTGGCAACCTGACACATACCTTTTGATTATAGGAATAAGTATATATGGTACAGTTTTGGGGGCCATTCTATACTGGAAAGACCTAAAGTCTGCTCCAATCTAAACAATACTGGAGAAAGTTAAACCTGCCTAAAAGTAGCCAAATGGGAGAAAGAGCTACACGTTTACATTACTGCTTTTAAGTCCTGGCAAATACACAAACAAGGCCCCACATCTAACAGTGATCAAAACTGACCATCTTATTGTGAGTTTCAGCAAGGTTCAGGAAAAGTGGTACACTTTCTTCTTCTTATACTTACAATTATACAAGATCATTTCAAGGTACCTATACAAATTTGTGTTAATTTATTGCCACTTTTAGTAGGGACAATAATAAGGTGATATAATCCTCCCTACTTTGCATCAACCTCCGTCTCTAACCTCCAGAAAAGTTACTGATACCTTATTTAGAACAAAGGATACCCCAGAGCTGCCAGCTTTGCTGGGAATCTTCTGTCTTGGAAAATTTGCCATTACTGAACCCCACCTGAATTTTAGCTGTCCTATTCAACACTTGCAACAGAATCACTACTTCTGCGTACTACTAGTATTTATTTAGGCAGCAGTATGACTAATTGAAAATTAGCGTAAACTACTCCAGCTTTCAGAGGTTTATTAAGAACAAAAGAGATAAAATAAACCATCAATAAGTTTTCGGTATTGACTAACTGGTAAAATAAAATATTTGGATGCGTTTGGTTAAATAAAATATATTACTAAAACTAATTACCCTTTTTTTTACTTTTAATGTAATCGCTAGAAAGTTTAAAATTACAGTGTGTCTTAAACATATGTGTCATATTTTACTTCTATTGTACAGGGCATTCTAGTGGCCTCTGACATGGGATTATGCAGAATCATGCACAGGCATTAGGTATGTATTTTGGTGAGGGGGACATGATAAGATCTGTGTTATTGACATATGGTCATTGTTATAAACCTAAATTGGATTACGGAGAGAACAAAACAAGAAGTCAATTACTCGAGTTTTGCAAGGGTCCAAACAAAAGACGACAAGAAAACAAACTGTATCTGTGTCTTGGAAAAAAGATAATAGTTTCAGGACGTAGCTTAGATTTAGCATTGGAAGCACTTGGGATTGAGTTAAATATTTGGGTTGAGAAAATTGTAGGAACTAGAGCTAATACCTCAAGTGTCGGAATAGATGTAGTATAGTAATGTCTTTAATTGAGGGGCAAAAGACAAAGAACACATTTCTTATATTCTCAAAGGGAACATAGGAACTGACTTGGGACTATTGCTAGCAATTAGTCAACTAAAACTCGACTGTTTTACAATAGCTTTCAACTGTTCACTGCAATTTAAATTCTTAAATGGGGTGAAAAAATTTAGCAGTCCTTCTAATGAGTTTCTTCTTCCCAAAACAATCTTCTGGAGATAAATTTGTAAAGCAGAGAATTTTCCCCAAAGCAAAAAGTGTTTCTTCCTTTCGTAGAATAAATAAGGGTCATATATAAGCTAACCAAATTTAATTATATTATTGGAGTTGCAACATTGTATCTGAGGCCCACAGTCCTGTAATATAAATAATTTCAACTAATGTGATGGGTATGTTGAAGAGACAAAAAGATATCATTCAAAAATGGCTACTTCTGTAAGTCAAAAGTCTAAATAATTGCAATTAGCTTCTATAGAATTATTAATTTTATAATTTATGGTTTCTCACATTAATATATTGATTGGTTGGAGCAAGTGCCATGTTGGAAACCAAGCTAACTCAAAGTGCAATATTGAAATAAATAATATTTATTGTCTTTTATTTATCCAACCAATATCTGTTGAGTACCTACCATAGGTGCTAAGCTTTTGGATTACCATAGTCAATTGGACAGCCTTATTCTGTCTCATGCAGTTTATGGTTTAAGCCTGAGAGGAAAACCAACCTTTTACATTTTATTTTGTATAGATTCATGGGATATATCTACAGATTTGTTATGTGGACATGGTGCATAATAATGGTGAGATTTGAGCTTCTAATGTGCCCATCACCTGAACAGTGAACATTGTACCCAATAGGTTACTTTTTAACTCTTATCACCCTCCTACCCTCCCCACTTTTGAAGTCGTCAGTGTCTATTGTTTCAATCTGTATGTCTATGTGTACCCATGGTTTATCTCCCACTTATAAGTGAGAAGATGTAGTATTTGACTGTTTCTGAGTTATTTAACTTATGATAATGCCCTCCAGCTCCATTCATGTTGCTGCAAAAGTCATGATTTTATTCTTTTTTATGGCTGCATAGTATTCCACAGTGTACATATACCACCTTTGCTTTACCTAGTCATCCTTTGATGAACATGAAGTTGGTTCCATGACTTGGCTATTCTGAATAGTGCTGTGATAAACATACAAGTGCAGGTGTCTTTTTCATATAATGATTCATTTTCCTTTTGGTAGATACCCAGTAGTGGGATTGCTGGATCAAATGCTAGTTCTATTTTTAGTTATTTGAGAAATCTCTGTACAAACTCTTTTCTATAGAGGTTGTACTAATTAACATTTCCACCAAAAGTGTATAAATGTTTTCTTTTCTTTACAACCTCATCAACATCTGTTGTTTTTTAACTTTTTAATCATAGCTATTCTGACTACTGTGAAATGGTATCTCACTGTGGCTTTCATTTGCATTTCCATGATGATTAATGATGTTGGGCGTTTTTTCATATGTTGGTTTGGCCACTTGTATGGTATGTCTTCCTTTTTTAAAAAATTATTTCCCTTTCTTTCCTTCTTTCCTTCTTTCCTTCTTTCCTTCCTTTCTTTCTTTTTCTTTCTTTCTTTCTTTCTTTCTTTCTTTCTTTCTTTCTTTCTTTCTTTCTTTTTTTTTTTTTCCGGCCTTCAGCTTTTTTCTGATGCCTTCAGCTTCTTTCTGTCACCTAGGCTGGAGTGCAGTGATGTGGTCTCAACTCACTACAACCTCCACCTCCCAGGTCAAGTGATGCTCCTGCCTCAGCTTCCCAAGTAGCTGGGGTTATAGAGGTGCATCACCATCCTTGGCTAATTTTTGTATTTTTAGTAGAGATGGGGTTTCACCCCTTCACCAGGCTGGTCTCAAACTCCTGACCTCAAGTGATCCACCCATCTCGGCCTCCTAAAATGCTGGGGTTACTAGTGTGAGCAACCATACATGGTTGTATGTCTTCTTTTGAGAAGTATCAGTTCATGTCCCTTGCTTATTTTACTTTTTTTTTTTTGATAGAGTTTCTCTCTCTCTTGCCCAGATTGAAGTGCAGTGGCATGATTTTAGCTTATGCTTACTTTTTAATTGGATTGTTTGATTTTTTTTTCTTGTTGAGTTGAGTTTCTTATAGATTCTGGATATTAGTCATTTGTTGGATGCATAGTTTGCAAATATTTTCTCCCATTCTGGAGGCTGTCTGTTTATTATTTCTTTTGATGTGCAGAAACATTTAAGTTTAATTAAGTCCCATTTGGGTATTTTTGGTTTTGTTGCATTTGTTTTTCAGGGCTTAGTCATAAATTCTTTGCCTATGCCAATGTCAGAAGAAATTTTTCTAGATTTTCTTCTAGGATTTTTATAGTTTCAAGTCTTACATTTATGTCTTTAATCTATCTTGAGTTAATTGTATACGGTGAGAGATAAGGGTCCAGCTTAATTATTTTGCATACAGCTATCCAGTTTCCACAGCACCTTTTATTGTATAGGTTGTCCTTTCACCCATTATATATTTTTGTTGACTTTGTTGACAATCAGCTGGTTGTAGGTATGTGACTTTATTTCTGGGTTCTGTATTCTGTTCCATTAATCTATGTGTCTATTTTTGTACCAGTACCATAATGTTTTGTTTGTTATAGCCTTGTAGTATATTTTGTATTCAGGTAATGTGATGTCTCCAGCTTTGTTCTTTTTCTCAAGATTGCTGTGGTTAGGCTCTTTTTGGTTCTGTATGAATTTTAGGAAATTTTTGTAATGCTGTGAAAAATATGTTGGTAATTTGGTAGGAATTGAATCTGCAAATTGCTTTGAAAAGTATTGTCATTTATTGATATTGATTCTTCCAATCCGTAAGCATGGAATATTTTTCCTTTTGTGTTATGTATGATTTATTTCATCAGTGTTTTAAACTTCTCTTTGTAGATATATTTCATCTCCTTGGTTAAATATATTCCTAGGTATTTTTATGGCTATCGTACATGGAAATGAGCTCTTGATTTCGTTCCCAACTTGAATGTTATTCATGTATAGAAATGTTACTAACTTTTGCATGTTGATTTTGTATCCTGAAATTTTACTAAACCAGTTTATCAAGTCTAGACGTCTTTTGGAAGAGATTTTATGGTTTTCTAGGTATAATATCATATCATCAGCAAATAGAGATAATTTGACTTCCTCTTTTCCAATTTGGATGCCTTTTATTTCTTTCTTTTGCCTGATTTCTCCAGATAGGACTTCCAATACTATGGTGAATAGGAGTGGTGACAGTGGGCATTTTTGTTTTAAAATCATTATTTTAATATGCTTTTAAGTGCCAAAATGAAATTCAAGTTGCTATGTGTGGACTTAGAAGGAGCATCAAATCCAGAGTTGGAGAGAATCTAGAAAGGCAGAAATGTGTGTAGAGAGAATAACATCTGCCCTGATAATTAAAGGAAGATCAAGATTAAGCTAGTTAAATTAGGCTCATTAGAGCTGGAGAAGAGTGAGAACAATGCGCAAAGGTTATGAGGTAAGAGAGATTGGGACATGTACTGGATTTATGAAATAGATGACTCGGCCGGATCATAGAGCTATAATGATGGATTGTCATTCACTTAGGCTAGACAAACAAATAAAAGCCACATTATAAAGGACTTTCTTAATGTTAATAAGATTGTACCTTTTTGTTGTAGCCTTCAATTATCATTTTATACTTTGATACTGGTTGATTAGTTTGTAAGTATATATCTTACTTTTACAATAATACAAAAATCTAGTAAGAGTAAATTATGGAATTTCCAAACCATGAATTATTATGCAGCAGTTTAACAAAAGAATAAGATAACTCTCTATTAACTTCGACAGATGTCTAGATTTATTTTTAAAGAAAACGGTTGATTGAATAACAGTATGTATTATATAATTCAATTTGTATAAAACAGTGTATGTTTGTATGTGCATAGAAAGTTTCAGGAAGAATATCCACAAGCTGTTAACAATGACCACTTCTAGGGAGTATAATGGAAGTGACTGTGGTGAAAGAAATATACATATTAAATAATGTCTGAGAAAAAAATAAAAAGGGATAAAGAAAGCTTTATTAATCCAACAGAAAGCAAAAAATGATAAAAATGAAGAAAGAAAAGGATATACCCAAATATACAAAATATAACAAATATTCTAAATGTTGCTATTCCTAATAAAAATATTAATAGATTGAATAAGTCTATTAAAGGTTAAATTCTGGAAAATCAGAATAGATTTGATATCTCCATCTAGCTGTGGTCTGTTGGTGACACATATATAAAACAAAAACAAAAATAAAATGAGAGAATGTAAACATAGAAATCCTGAATAGAACATCAATATATAAAAAAGACTGAATTCGTATCTTACAAAACTTTCCACACAAAAAAACTTCACTGATGAATTTACAAGCATTTATGGAAGGTTTAATATCAGTTCTTTACAAATCCTTCCAAAAAGATAGAACTTTTCAACTTATTCAGTGAGGCCAGCATTATTCATATATCAAAACCAAGTGAAGACATCATATGAAAAGAAAACTAAACAACAATATTTCTTTAAATATATATATATGCAAAATGTCTCAACAAAATACTAGCAACATATAGAAAGAATTACCCACCAAGTAGGATCTATCTTGAGGATGTAAGATTTGTTTAACACACAATCACCATAATATGCCATATCAATAAAATAAAAAAAAAACACATAATCTTCTCAATAGACACAAAAGACATATTTTCTATAATAAAATCAAACACATTTTCTTGATAAAAAAGATTTTAAAAATCTAGGAATATAAGAAAACTTACTGAATCTGAGAAAAAGTATTCATGAAAAATCTACAGCTAACATCATGCTCAATAACTAAAGAAAGAATGCTTTCCTCATACAATCAGGAAAACAGAAGGCATCTTCTCACTCACTACTTCTATTCAAAATGCTACTGGAGGTTTTAGCCAGGGTACTTAAAAAAAAAAATTAGCAAAACATACTCAAATGGAAAAATAAGTTGCCTGGCATAGTAGCTCACGGCTGTAATCCCAGCACTTTGGGAGGCCGAGGCGGGCGGATCACCTGAGGTCAGGAGTTTGAAACCAGCCTGGCCAACATGACGGAAACCTCTTCTCCTCTAAAAATACAAAATTAGCAGGGTGTGGTGGCACATGCCTGTAATCCCAGCTACTTGGGAGGCTGAGGCAGGAGAATCGCTTGAACCCGGGAGGTGGAGTTTGCAGTGAGCCAAGATTGCACCATTGCACTCCAGCCTGGGCAACAAGAGCAAAACTCTGTCTCAAAAAAAACAAACAAAACAAAACAAAAAAAGACAGACAATAACAAGTGTTGGTGAAGGGTGAAATTGGAATCCCCATACATTTTTGGTCGGAAGGTTAAGTGGTCTTATTAAGTAAGACCACATTTGAAAGGTCAGGATGTAAGCAGAGATGGGTGTCTGCAGTTACACTTATTAAGCAAAGAAGTTATTTGGATTATCAAGGAAAAATTTTAGGAATATCCATGGTTTCTGAGTCACAATATACCCTTTATATTTATAATATTTTATTTAGTCTGAGAGGTGGGCCTGCCTTTATCCTTAATATTGTGTTTATATTTCAGCCTCATGCATATGAAGCTCACATCACCTAACTTCCTTAACTCATGCCTCACTAGCTTCAGGTTTGAGCTTAAACATATCATCCACAAAAAGTGTTTTCCAATGCCAGGTTAGTTATGTTTTCCTGATACATGCTTTTATAGCAACCTGTATTTTCTCTGTATCCATCACACTTTGTTGTTTCTACCTATTTAATTGCTTGGTTTCTCCACTCAATGGTAAGCTGTTGAATGTATCAGGTGGGAACCTCTGGGAGCCAACTTCAGAGACTGACTGTGGATTACTTAAGCAGATATTAGAATTTTTGGAAGGACAAAGAGGGCAGTTATAGATCCAGACTGGTAAAACATAGCTGGAGAGAGGATTGGACAAATAATCAGACACTCGGAGCATAAATAAAAGAAATTACTAGGAGTTAATTTCAGGATGTGAGTGATGAAATAGAAAATTCCAACATTTTCAGATTTTTCAATATTCTAGTCAACATGTACGTTGGAAAAATAATTTTTAAATGGCTAAGAGGATTAAACACCTGGCTCTTAATTAAAAGAAAAAAAGTGAACCTTGATTACAATCTCTGGCAAAGTTTCTAATGGAGAAAAGGCAAAAGTTAAGAAAAATAATAATAATAAGGATGGTCAGTTGGTATGGGAGTGGAATGGATGTAGGGCTAGTATAACGATTGTCAGGTAGAAAAACCATCATATATTAATTCCAGTGAATGCTCAGGATTGGACTCTCCCACAAATTATCAAAGTGCTTGGCAGATAGTGGGTCGATGTATGAGGCCCACAGTACTCCTTGTCTATTTTTCTAGACTTCAACCAACTGGCTGTGACCTCAACAGCTGCACTAGAAGCTGGGACTCTGCTGCCAATACACTCATCTTTGACAATTTTTCTTCTGCCTACTCTTGTATATTACAGCTACTGAGAACATTGGTTCTTAACCATTTTTAAATTCATGGGTACATTTGCAAATCTGATAAAAAGTTATGAATAATTTTCTCAGGGAAACATAATGCTTATTAACACACATATTTACGTAATTTTTAAAGAGACCTCCTGAATAGAATTCCTAAAATGCTTTCATGTTGTCAAAATAATAAATAATATCTATATCTATATCTATCTCTATCTATCTATCTATCTATCTATCTATCTATCTATCTGTCTATCATCTATCTATCTATATACAGAGAGAGAGAGAGAGCACTAATCTGTGAGGGCTACTATTCTAAATGTTTTACATATATAAAATAATTTATTACTTTTGACAGATCTAAAGGAGAGTACTACAGTTACCTAAATTATATATCGGAAAAGGAAAGCATAGACTTGTTACATAACCTGGCCAATGTCTCACTGAATTTAAACCAAGTCTATGTAATTAGAGAAACCATAGTCTTAAATAATATGATTTAGTCTTTAAGTATGCTAAGTGTTGCAATAAATACCCAGATGGTCCAAATTTGGCTTAAAACTCCCAGGGTCTTGCTTGTTATCTACTGGAGAAGATAGAGCTTATGAAAAGGTCTATATTGAAATGAGGAATGTGAAATGTGGTAAAAGAGAGTTAGAAAATACTAAGGATGGGCCGGGTGCGGTGGCTCACGCCTGTAATCCCAGCACTTTGGGAGGCCGAGATGGGCGGATCATGAAGTCAGGAAATCAAGACCATCCTGGCTAACACGGTGAAACCCCGTCTCTACTAAAAAAAAAAAAAAATACAAAAAAATTAGCTGGGCACGGTGGCGGGTGCCTGTAGTCCCAACTACTCGGGAGACTGAGGCAGGAGAATGGCGTGAACCTTGGAGGCGGAGCTTGCAGTGAGCCGAGATCGCGCCACTGCACTCCAGCCTGGGCGACAGAGCAAGACTCCGTCTAAAAAAAACAAAAAGAAAAACAAACAAACAAACAAAAAACAAAAAAAAGAAAATACTAAGGATGAACAAAGCAGTGATTAAACTTTTGCGAGTAGGGGAAAAATTTCAATGTTTTAAAGAGTTATTGGGTGTCCATTATTGGCTTAGAGATAACAACATGACAGCTGCAGAAAATTGAGGCCCTCAGAGGATTGTTTTGACAAAAGCACAGTAAGAAGTAAGGACAGCTTTCTAGGAGTAAACACAGCCTAGGAAAAAGAGCCAAGATGGAGAGGTGAAATAGATCTTGCATTAGTGCTCTGGGCATTAGAAGGTAACCTTCTTATCATCAGTTGGCCAAATGCATTGAGACTCAGCTTCCTTATCTCTTAGGTGGAAATGATGCATAATTGATGACCTTAAGGACCTGAACATATGGGTTTATTTAGTTACTCTTAATAAAGAATTTAATGAGAGCAAATTATGTACATAAAACTTGGCTAAATATTGGGAAGAATAGAGAGAAGAATGAACATGGTTACTCTTTTTCAGGAGTTTAAAGTCAGGTTGGAAGAGAAAGTACCTGAAAATGAATTGAAAAGATAAATATCATATATGTATATGAAATGAATGGTTTATATATGGCTCCAGTGAAAAAGAAAATAATTGTCTCACATTCATCAATACTATAACATCTATTGTTGCTGTGATGATTGCTAAGAACGGTGAATTTAAATTAAAATAAATTTCCTTGGTGAAGGAGTTGTTATAAAAAAAAAAGAAAATACAATTTCTGGAAAGAAGTTCACTCTTGGCAACATGGAAGAATGTAAAGGGTTTTATTATTAAATTATTTAATATTTTCTACCTAGTTGTCGAAATCTATAGGAGCCATGAACACATATTTAAAAGGTGTTCAAGGGACGCCATTCATTACACACCAGGAAAAAGTAGTTGGAACTTTATTAAAAAGTGACTAATAGGCACTCTAGATAATTGAAATGACAGCGTATTTTGACAGCTGCAAGCAAAAATGTACTTGTTCAAAATAGTGAGTGTAAATCTTTTTAATTTCCAGAAAGAAAAATGATGTACAGGTTTAAATTAATTCAGTCAGCTTATAAAGTGTAATAATAAAAGGTAACTAACTCTTCACTTGACTGGTGAAACCTCTGTTAATTGGAGGTCCTGCCAATCACTGCACGTTAGGGCTGGATGTGAAGGCCTCTGAAGGTCCTCAACTGGAAGAGGTGATTTCCTCTAGAGTCCTGGAGGAAACGAAAATCGCCACAGAAATTACCAAATATCCACAAAATAACCTTTATGAATACCTCTTAGTGTCAAATTTGGAGTTCACAAAACACACAAAACACTTAAATCTCCAAACAAGTAGACTGAAATAGAAACACATTCATCATCCACATGTGATGGCCCCCATAGGTATACTGTAAAGCCAAGAAGTGAGATTTTAAAAATAAATAAAGAAATAACAGAAGTAAATTTCCTAATCAACAAAATGGGTCAAATCCCAGGTTAAGAATAATCCACGTAACTTAAAAATGGACCAGTGTCCACTTGCTAAGACATGGCTACTTGATTTTATTACATTTAAACCCATAAAGGAAATCAAAAGGACAAACAAAAGCAGATGAAGATCCACATCATGGCTTTTCAAACTGACATTATATTTAGGTTAGGGAAAGAGAAAGTGAAATGTAGGTGCCAGCCTCAGGATCTGAGCGTCATTTTCTCCTAATTTATTTTATTTTATTTTAGATATGAGTAGTCATTTTATTAGAGACACAACCAGCTGTGCATTTAGATATCACTTTTCTAAGTTTTGACTATCCTTTTGGTAAGAGAGCACAACAATCGAACCCACTAAAAAGTGAAACCAGTCCATGAATGGCACGTGATTATACATTCTTAGATTTATCTTCACTCTTTGTGGGAAAGTTTGCTATAAAATGCATTTATTTAAAATGTTGCAGAGCATAGACTTCTCAGGAACAATTTAAGCACCATAAATGTTTCCTTCAAATTGAGTCAAAAGAGGCTGAGAATCATATTACATTGGGTGGGAATCCAATGTTTGGTTTTAAAATAAAAGAATTTCAAAAATTGGAGCACTGCCATTATTTACAGCAGCTAGGATCACTGTCATACGATAAAACCTTGATTTTTCTTTATTCTGAGCTCATTGACAGTGAAATTTTCACTTGCAAACCACACAGTGAGGTAGAAGGCTAAAAAGGTACATGCTTTAGATCATCTGACTAAATAGTTTTTTGTTTGTTTGTTTGTTTGCAGGCAAATCTATCCCCTTACTTAAGCCATAACCTTGACCTTAATGATGAAACTCTTCCATTAGTCAAATTTCTCAGGTCTATTTTAATCACAAGATAATCATTTTTTTGTTCATAGTTAAAGGTTTACATTGCATATATCTAATATCTTATGTATAAACAAGGGCCATAAATTATTGACTGGTTAATATGGTCCATGAATGAATTCATTGTTCTCAAAGTAGACACATTTTATTTTTAAGAGAAAGAAAACCAATCTAAATCCTTAATGTCTGTGAGGTGCTATACAGAAAAAATGCTTTTAAATTTTAATAACAACAAATAAGAATGTGTATTAAGTTAGCTTTGCCCTGGTGAAAGTGCACTCCATTCAGAATTTTTTAATAACCTAAAGAATTATGTTAATATATTGAATAATATTAAAATATTTAGCCACATATATATTTATTTAGCTACATATATATTAAATGGATATTTACCCATTATTGTGTTTAATAATATAACTTCTAAAAAATTCAAAAGCTAATATTGGTTTACAATGCAATAATGCAAATTACAAACATTCGGGAAACTAGGAACAAAGATTAGATGTAGATATGCATAAATATGATACATAAAGATGAACTAAGGAATTTAATTGATTCAGAAGTCAATATGAAAATCCCAGCATAAAAAAATTGAGTGCTGCTTCCAATTCAAGATGGTAGTACAGATTTACAAGACAAAGTAATGCATGGAATGGGGAAACAATGGTATTACTTAATTGGATAGTGTGTCTAATATGTGGAATGAGAAATGTAGATGGATTTGCATTGATTGCATGATATAAAATATAACACAGTTTGAGGATTTTAGCAAAAGTGGGAAACATTCTTGTAGCCCAATCCCTAGAAATACTCAAAGTTCAGAATAGGAGAACTCAAACTCTGAACTCAAAGTTCAGAGTGAGTGGATGACAGTCATCTTGATTATTAGGAATAATGTTGGCTATTCATAATCATTATCTTCACTAAAAGAAACCGCTGGATGAGCCATTCTTTCTTCTTTCTCTTCTCTTACTCACTTTTCACGACCAATGCATAGAAACAGACAACAGTGGTATTTAAAGCATAACCTGGAGAACAAATCTTTGGAAATAATAGCAGATCTTCCCACAGAGGTTTCGAATTAGGGTGTCTTAGAGAGAACCAGTAAAGGATTGATGTAGTTTTAGAACTCAAAAACAGAGAAAAACAAACCAAACCAAAAGTAATTCTCCCCAAGGAAAAAAATACTAACATAAAGTTCTTTGCTATGCTTTTATTTTCAAGCAAACAATTATTGAGTGCTTTCTATATGCCAGATATTGGTCTAAATGACGTATGTGTAACTTATAACAATCCTGTATTGAAGGGTCTATTATTTGTGTTTAACACATAATTGATACCAAAAGATGAAGTAACTTTCACCAAGTCCTGTAACTTACCAGTGATGGAGCCAGAATTTGAACCAGACAGACTTGGTTCCAGAACAGAAACCCTGAACTCCTGCCGCATGTTGCTTACCATTTGTGAGGCTGGAGGAGGGACAAGTCCAAGCCTGCCAGTCTGCCTTCCACTCTCTCTGACTGCATTTTCTAAAAATGAATTATGCAGACAATACCCCCTTAACAAACTGGAAATCCCTTTTAATCTTTTTTTTTTTTTTTGAGACGGAGTCTCGCTCTGTCGCCCAGGCTGGAGTGCAGTGGCGGGA